>NC_000014.9:62035955-62338985 GCF_000001405.40 Homo sapiens | reverse complement strand
TGCAAATATTTATGTCAAAATGGAAATTTTTCATCTTGGTAGAAAAACAGAGGGTAATATTATCAATAGAATTTAACGGTCCCTAAACGCTTAACTTCCCATGGTAGCGCTGGGAGACACAGACAGGAAATGTTGTGTTCAGCTTATGCAGTAGAGCGAAAAAGCTGAGGGCAAGCATTGGGACTGGACTGGCTTAGTTCTAATTCCAGATCCATGCCAGGAGATTGAACCTGGGCAAATCACTTCACTTTCCCTAACCTAGGATGCCTTGTTTGCCAAATGGGGTTGATTCTAACCATCCTCATCTCATAATGTTATTGTGAGGATTAAGTGACATTTAGCACAATGCAAAATGAAAAGGCCTAATTCATATAGGAGTGTCGTTGGTATTAAAATTCCCTGAGTCATTTAGAGGGAAAGAGGAAACTGGCCTGAGTTTTTTTTGTTCTGAATATGATCATATAAATTGAAGGAAGACTGTGTCACTCACTTCTGAATCTATGACACTGGATCTAAGGAAGACCAGTGAGTAAAAGTCACCATGGTTGTAAACTGGATATGATAAAGTTTGATTATGAACAGACATTTTAGAAGATAACAAAAAGAAAAGAAAGCTTTGGAAAATTCCATGGCATTTCAATACAGGACTCTGAAGCTAGTGAGGAAAAAATTCTAAAAGGTAAACCACTCACCAATATCACCCCAGCAGCTGAATTCTACAGCAATATTAGAACTTGAATCTCTAGTGTTGTTTATAACTTTTCCACATTTGTGGAATGTTGATTTTATTTTTACTGGTACTGGCAAGGGAAGTGCATTGAGGGTGAGAGAAAAATATTGATTAGAGTATCTGGCAAACTTTGAGTCTTATTTCCTTGGCAATGATTTTTTTGTCCTTGGTAAGGATGAAGAGCAATCTAGGAAACCCATCATTTTTGGTGGTGCTGCTTCTTAGCTGAATCCCAAACCTAAATATATATCTGAATATTTCATCACACATTAAATTCCAAAGCCATTTTTACATAACTGATAAAAATTTATCCCATGGTAGCCAACCTGACTGTCAATATTGCTAGAATGATGTTGCTGCTGGCCATGGATGTGTACACATACATAAGAAGGCCTGTGCACACATGAGGTCATTATACTTCTGGGTAAACAGGGATTTATACAGCTAACTAGAACTTTATATCTGCTCAGTTTAAATTCTGTACAAATGTAGAAAATGTAATTTGCCATCTTGTTAATCTTGTCAATAGATTTCCCAGTAACAGATCCATAGTATTTACTTTATCCAGCTTGCATTAGAAATTAAGTAAAATCATTTTTTCTATACTTCCACACTCAAGTAAAAAGTTAACAGATGGTTTCTTTTAAAGAAATTATGATGCCCATTTCATTTCTATCATATAATGGTAGTGTGGGGATAAATCTTTATTTCAAATGTACTGTTGTGGTTTTCTTGCTCTGATATTTTTCTGTCTGTTACAACTTACATCCCAGAAGGAACATTAACAAAAATAATTAAAGCTATAGCTTTTTCAGTAACTTTGTGTTCTTTTCTTCCTGGCTGTCCCCCTATAATCTCTTAGACTAGGAAGCAACCTTATTACAATGATCTTACAAAAGGAGTTAATATTTAAGACTAGAAAGTTTGGTCTCAAATCAGCTTTGTGAATTGGCACTTACCTGGAAAGGCAGTAGTAGGAAACATCTAAATACACCACATATCATTCTGGGAGATGTGTCCTAATTAGCGGGGGGGAAGCCATCCTTGTTCCCTCCCACTTCTCATTCCACTCCTTTTTGGTGACCTCAACTCTCCTTGTTAACAAGTAGCAGGCAAAGTGATCTGGGTTTCTGCCTCAATACCTAGTAACACAACCAATTGACAAAAGCCACCTCAACCCAGAAAACATGATCATCTGCTAGTGCTTGGGTTCCATCCTTAGATCCATGCTTGCCAGGTAGAAAGGAGGCAAAATATAAATACACTAGCACCTAATTTATTTACACACTATGATCATACCATCTAGAGACAGCTCATGTCTGCAGAGCTCAAGAAATTGTAACTGTAATTATCTTTATTAACAATCCAAGTCAACTCCTTTGTGCAGGACTTGTGCTTAATTATTTAAGGATGATTTTGGAGAAAGGCCCTTGAATCAATCAGAATAGATGCAGGCCCTAATGCTGGAGCAGAAAGCTGCAAGGCTGCTTTAGCCCTCCAGGCGTAAGATCATCGGTAAATCAGGGATGGCCCAGGGGAGGGACAGACAGAAGCTCAAGGCAGTAGTTTGTTCCACCAGGTACAAAAGCATTGTAACAATTCACAGACTATGGTAATGGAATACCTGGTCTCTGTGACCTCCTCCCTCTGTTACACAGACTTCCAAATGCCTTAACAGACTATCCCCTAACTCCTAAGAGGGGATTATTTCCAACACATATTAACTCATGTCTAATTACTGTTTCTGTGTTTGAATGTAGATTTTTTTTCATTATATCATTGACCTAACAGAAAATTGTATTAAATCCAGTGTCTGTCAGACCCATATGGATGAATCAGCTCTAGTAAATCTGTGGCCCATCTCTATACTAAATGTAAACACTGTGCAGTTGACTAATGATTACATCTTTGTCATGCCTGAAATTAAAAATACCTAGCCCTTTTTCTGTCTTCTAATCAATTTTAATAATACCCTTTCTTCCACTAGATTAGATTTCTTTCTGATTCATACTGGAGAAAAATCCTACCACAGATTTCCTGGCAAAGTATTCAGACCAGCAATACTCTCTTGATATCTGTTCAGCATCAGTGCTTCCAGGAGACCCCCATACAATTATGCCACTAAAAATCCTAGGCCACAAACAACAAAATAAAATTCACAATAATATAAACATGTATATAGATATCACACTCTGTACTAGTTGCTTTCAAAATTTGTATACCCGATTAAATTATCTTTCTGGGTTAACAGGTGAAAGATATTATTGGAAAACATTTCACAAACTGCTTGTTACATTTATTGAAAATGCACTTCAGCCATCTGAAAGGAAAAGAACATATGTGAATTCTACTTCCTTATTTTTTTTTCATCTTTTCCCCTAGATTATAAATCTCTTTCATGGCCACCATTCCTCAACCATTCTCCCTCCGCCCCAGTTTTTTTTTTTTTTTTTTTTTTTTTTGTCATAACACTGAGTGTTCTCCAATCTCTATGAGTACATTCAGAAATTATCTTCTAGGCCTAGATGGTACAGTCATATTGTGATTGACTATCTCATTTTTACCATTATCAAATTATACATCCATATTCCTTTGCTACATCACTTTGCTATACCTCCTACTAAGGGCAGAATGCATTGCCCTGCCTTATTCATGTTGGGCATGGCCATGTAACTTGCTTTGACCAATGAAATATTAGTGGACATGCCATAAGAAGAGGCTGTATGGCTCAGCTTTTGCCCTCCTGGGCTTCTGTCATACCTATGAGAATATATTCTAGGTCGTCACTGGTCCTACCATGATGAGAAGAAAGAGGAGTAAAGTTAAACCAAGCCCACAGCCTAGAATCAATAATTCATATTAAGTACTACTATTAAATAGACATTTAAAAGTTTTGTCCTATATATATGTGTGTAGAATGCTAAGGTGAACACAGTTACTGATTTCAAGCATGTGATTTAAACATAAAAATGATTTGAAATATTTGTGAATTCCTTCTTATAACTCCCTAGGTCAATTCCTGTAATAAAATCAACATGAACTATTTTTTTTAAGAGTATGAGGTTCTGTTATACAAATATTGATGTGAAAGGTAAAATCTATTCAATGTGAGATTAAGTCTACATATTTGGTATAAAAGTAGTTACAAAGGTAAATGAAGACTTCTACTATAAACCGTGATGGCCTATTATGTCTATACTTGCAAAACAAAACCATAAAACAGGCAAAATATGTGAAAAAACAGTTTGCAAACATTGAACATTAGACAGTATAAAACTATGATCCCTAAAAGATGGGATGGTAACAAGGCAGGTGGTATAATAAACCTAGCTTTCTGCCCAACAGTATGTGAGACCCACCATGGATGAAAAAGCAAAGAGCACAGTTGTTTTGCTTAATTGAGAGAAGAGTGTTGCATTTTGGAGACTATGGGCTATAATTTATTTGCAAAGCAACATATAGAAAGGTGAGAACAATTTAGGAGAAAAGTTCCAGAAATGTGCACAGGGTCCCCCTTAAGACATTTAATGAACAGTGCAGATACAGGGTGCCAAAACAAGGCCTGGCTAAGAACTACTACCAGGGAAAGACAGCTAGAAAGAAGTTATGTGCTAAAAAGGAAAGAAGTTATATGCTGAAAAATTGTGAGAGCTTTCACAGGGGTAAGAAACATTCAAAGTCTGACCAACCAGAAGAGAGGCCTTAATAAATACCTAAAGCACTAAACAGAGATCCCCACCAAAAGGTTATGTCTTAGAAGTAGGGCTAAACTACTCTTTTAGTCTAAAACTACCCTTTAGGACTAAAGGTTAACCTTTACTTTACTTTGTAGTTTTTGTTACCCACTGTAACAAAGCTCAAAAATAAGCCTTGACAGGAAAAGCAAATTACCTGCAGTCTAGAAGAGAACTACATTTTTTAAAGGAAGATATCAAAATCTAAACATAAAACAAAGTAACATTTACAATGTCCAGCATCTAAGGAAATAAACAAAACCAAATGTGTGAAACTGAAAAATATAACTCATAACCAAGAGAAACTTCAGTCCATTGAAACAAAACCAAAAGATAATATAATAAAATAAGCAAAGACTTAAAAATAAGTATTATAAATATGTTAAATAATATAAAGAAAAATATGAACATGAGGAAGAATGCAAAAACTATCAACAGTGGAAATATGGAGCTAAAAAAAGCTGTCTTAAATGAAATGTTCACTGATTGGTTTAACAGAAGACTAGCATTGCAGAAGTAAAGATAAGTTAACTCTGAAACAGAGCAAAAGGAGCTATGAAAACCAAAGCACAGAGAAAAAAAAGTGTGATAATATCAATTGGTCTAACATATGGATAATTGGAGCTCTAGAGAAAGGCAAAGTAGGCAGAAAATACAGAGATAAATTTATAATTTAAATGCATACATTAGAAAGGATTGATTTAAAAAGAGATTTAAAGTTAATCAGTGAAGCTTCCACCTTAAAAATCAAGGAAAAAAACTAATTAGACAGTAAGATATAATAATGAGAGCATAAACCAATGAAAAAGCAAACAGAAAACAAGAAAAAAATCATTAAGAACAAATGAAACTTCTTTGAAAAGAAATGAAAATGGTAAATCATTTGGTGGACTCATGAAAAAAGAACAGGTGGGTGGAAGAAGACACAAATCTCCAAAATCAACAATGAAGTAGGTGTGGAGGATAATCAATGTCAACCTAAAACTTAAGTAATAAGTAAAAGTAAACAACTTCATGTTGCAAGACTCAACAGGTAAACTGGACAAAATCCTGAAAAACAAAAAATTATCAAAACAGTTAAGAAGAGACAGAAAATTTCACTATTAAAAATTTTGAATTTATAATATAAAACCTCAATGACAATTCCCCCATTCCCCAAATGAACTTCAGTCTCAGTTGGCCTCACTGGGGAATTCCATTAAATATTTAAGGAATAAAAATGCCAGTCTTTCACAAAACAGACATGTTTCCAGCTAATAAAAGAGAAATAAGTGTCTAGAGCTTTATCCTGATACCACAGTCAGACAATGACATTAAGAGGAAAGAAAACTGCATACCACCAAGCTGTAACATTCTAACTGTATTAGAAAGTAAAAATATACAAGTGATATTCATCCTAGAAATGGAAGATTGCTTTGATATTTAAAAGCACAGGATATTTAAAGCTTTGATGTAATTCAGCATATAAACCAAACAAAGAAAATGAATAAGATTTTTTCAATAGATGCAAATAAAGCATTTGAGTCTCATTTCCAGCAACCATTTGTGATTTTAAAAATGATAGAAAACCAGAATTAAAGAAGAAAAAAGCCTTTCTTTACCTGATTAAGGGAAACTACCAGAACAACAATGAGCATCTACAGTTAATATGAAACTTAAAGGCAAAATAATTAACATTTTCCTTCCAAAATTGAAAGAAGGTGAGAATGCAAGCTCCTAACCATCACATTAAATATTCTACTTGCGGTTTTATCCAGTGCAATAAAGAAAACATAAGTAAAAGGAATAATACTTGGAAAGGAATATTAAAACTATTTTCATCTTCAGTCATTATGATTGTGCATATAGAGAAATCCTAAAGAATCTACAAAAGAATAAAACCCACTAGAACTATTTAATTTTGCAAGGTCATAGGATACAAGGTCACTGCATCAAAATTAATTTTTTCTATACACTAGAAATAAACTATTGGAAAATAAAATATAAACAAAATGAAAGATTAATAAAGCAATACAATTTATATTTGCAACAGAAATATGAAATATTCAGGAATAAATTTACCAAAATACAGGTAAATCCTCTATATCAAAACTAAAACCCATAGCTGTAATTAAAGGCCTAAATAGTTATGCCATGTTTATCAAAGAGTAAATGTTACAAAAATGCTAATTGTTTCTTCTAAATTGATGTAAACCCCAATCAAAATCCCAGAATGTGGGTTTTTTTCCAACATTGTGACCCCAATTCTATCATTTTAATGGAAATGCTAACGATCTAAAAGAGAAGAAAAGGATTTTGAAAAAGAAGAACAATGTTAAAAGGCCTATACAATCTTATTTCAAGACTACATCATTCTACATAATTGAGAGACTACAGTACATTTATCAAAATTCTTCAAACTGTGTATTTCAAATTGGCGCACACTACTGTGTCTAAATTATACAACTCCAAAGTTGATTTGAAAAAAACAAAGTAAATAAATTTAGACTTCAAGAAATACTATATAATATTTATATAATTCATGTTAAAAATAATTCTTGGAAGTGTGTGTGTATATGTATGTGTGTGTGTATATATATACACATATGTGTGTGTATATATATATACATACACGTGTGTGTATATATACATACATGTGTGTGTGTGTGTGTGTATATATATATATATATATATATATAAAATAAAATTATTAACAACAAACCAAGTTGAAATCTCAAGATTCTGTTGAGCAAGTCCCAATAACGCCTGGCTGCTATAGGTAAAAATACTGTACACAGTGTTATTGTTCCATTTTTTATTTACTTGTTAATTCCAAAGAGCACATTACTTAAAAGGATCCTACAGGTAGCAAATAGCAGAATTAAAAACTGTGTCCTTCATACCCATGAAAGTAAGAGCAAATAAACTGTAATTCACATAGCAAACATGGAAAACAAAATAATCATCAAAATTTAAAGAGAGACAGAAGGAGAGGAAGAAAACATGATTACTGAAGCAAAACTATTAGCTTATCACTTGGAACTATGACTGAAAATGGTTTTGGTTTTACAATAGAAATTTTTAAAAAATTATATCAGTGAATATTTGATGACATGAATGGAAGTACATACATGATAAAAGCAGGAGACAGTCTATATAAATGCAGTAGGTCCTGGTTTATTTTAGCACTTGTCTTATCTTTTAAAAGATCTGTCCTAGTCCATTCAGGCTGCTATAACAAAATACCATAAACTGGGTGGCTTACAAACAATAGAATTTATTTCCCACAGTTCTGGTGGATAAAACTTCTAAGATTAAGATTTGCTGTCTGTTGAGGACCCACTTTCTGGCTCATAGATGGCACCTTCTCAGTGTTGTACTCACATGGTGGAAAGGGTGAGGGTGTCTGTTATAAGGGCACTAATCCCATTCATAAGGGCTCCACCTCCATGACCTAATTGCCTTCTATCTCCTAACACAAGCATATTGGGGTTTAGGATTTCAATATATGCTTTTGGGGGGACACAAACATTCAGACTATGTCAAGATCTCTCACGAAATAGAACCTGGTTAAGAAAGAATGTGATGATCTTCTTTCTTGATTCTAAAGGTAATTGGTACAGGAAAGTATAAAGACAACAAGAACTCTAACGACACTAAATGTGCCTACTTTTTGCATTGGACAATACTGTAGAAAATGCAGAAATGCACTTTCATGCCTGAGATATAATCAATTCCACATGATGAAAGCAGAATCTTTCTTTTGTATACAAAAAAGAAAAAAGAAAACTTTGTAATTTATTATTTAAAACATTATCGAAACATTGTTTCTAGTGCTAAGTCTCAGGGAGGGCAATTTAGAAAAGCCTGTATCTATTGTTCGGAAATAGTCCTGGGCCCTAGCTTTGCTCAATAATTTGCCCTCTGCATGCTATATGTACTTTTGATTCTTAAACCTCCTTCATTTTGCCTTCCCTGTTGGAAGTCAAATACCTTTTTCTAAAAGTACTTTGCCTCAGCAGCTTCTTGTCATAGGGAAAAGTCTGTTTAAAATTTTAGAGGTAGCTTCATAACAGCAACGAAAAGTGGTAGAAGTCTTCCTGAAATTAAGTAGTAACTCTCTTTCATTAAAAGACAGTGGCAAGTGGTTAATTTCTCATTAGTATTATAGTAAGTCCATTAATGAAACTTCCCTCATTACAAGAATTGATTAGAATGATTTTGAGCATTCTGAAGAACTTGATGGTCGGAAGGCAGCAGGAAAATGCTAAAGGTGAAGCTGATGCACATTTATCCGTATTGCCAAAGGAATGGCACTTGATAGACTTCTATATTACCATTTAATAGTGATATTAATATTTAAAATGCATGTCCCCATATCAACATAGCAAGTATGACAGGTAACCTCTTGTACAAAAGGCAGAAAATGAACTCCACTTTTCTTCTGTCAATGTTTAAAATACTTCAACAATATTTCCTCTCTTGATGTTTCAACTTTTTAAATATGGTAATGGAGGCGGGGGAAGGCTTTAACAGAAATCGTATAAAGTTCGTCCAAGGCCTAGCACATTCTCCTTCTTCCCAAAGAACCACTAAAAGGACAAAGAAAATATAAGAATAAAAATAAAAGCAGATAGTTTTGGAATCTGGCCTAACAGTACCACTACCAGACAGACCATAATATTATGACTTACAGAAATCTGTATAAAAGATGAGGAAAGATCAATAATTAAGCCACACAGGGATTGGGAGAAAAAACCCTTAATCCCATAGTGTCAAAAGAGAAAATCTGAAAAAAGTGAAAGTTCAGACATAACCCTAGACTAAGTGTAACATCAAAATCTCAGATTCAGCTACTACTGACTCATAGCTATAGCATGACAAGCTTCAGAAGAAAGTGTCAACTATTCCCCTTTCTCTAATAAACTATCAAACTAATCTCTCATGATGCCTCACATTCCTATTTGCCTGGTCACTTCCAAAACTCTAAGTTAACCAAGCCATTCACTAACCCACCTCCCCACCCAAACTGTAGTGCACATACTCTAAAGGGCCGGGTTAATAATACCTTCATCTCCTTTTCTTCCAGAATTGTTCACTGTGCGTTTTGGTGCTCCTGATATGGAATAACAAACTCTCTTGTAACCTGAGGCTCCTCTCCGAATATGACCTTTACTCCCTTGTTTGTTTAAAAAATTAAAAAAAAAACAACAACCACCCTGAAAGTCTCCTGAGACCATGCCTTCTGACAATTTCCCAAGAAATACTTCAGGAATAGGAGGCAGGCAAGTGTTCCCCTTGCTCTTCCTTGTCACTTGAAAGTCACTGCTTTTTTTTTATTATTATTATATTTTAAGTTTTAGGGTACATGTGCACAACATGCAGGTTAGTTACATATGTATACATGTGCCACGTTGGTGTGCTGCACCCAGTGACTCATCATTTAACATTACGTATATCTCCAAATGCTATCCCTCCCCCCACCCCCCACCCCACAACAGGCCCTGGTGTGTGATGTTCCCCTTCCTGTGTCCATGTGTTCTCATTGTTCAATTCCCACCTATGAGTGAGAACATGTGGTGTTGGGTTTTTTGTCCTTGTGATAGTTTGCTGAGAATGATGGCTTCCAGCTTCATCCATGTCCCTACAAAGGACATTAACTCATCCTTTTTTATGGCTGCATAGTATTCCATGGTGTATATGTGCCACATTTTCTTAATCCAGTCTATCATTGTTGGACATTTGGCTTGGTTCCAAGTCTTTGCTATTGTGAATAGTCCCACAATAAACATACGTGTGCACGTGAATTTATAGGAGAATGATTTATAATCCTTTGGGTATATACCCAGTAATGGGATGGCTGGGTCAAATGGTATTTCTAGTTCTAGATCCCTGAGGAATTGCCACACTGACTTCCACAATGGTTGAACTAGTTTACAGTCCCATCAACAGTGCAAAAGTGTTCCTATTTCTCCACATCCTCTCCAGCACCTGTTGTTTCCTGACTTTTTAATGATCGCCATTCTAACTGGTGTGAGATGGTATCTCATTGTGGTTTTGATTTGCACTTCTCTGATGGCCAGTGATGATGAGCATTTGTTCATGTGTCTTTTGGCTGCATAAATATCTTCTTTTGAGAAGTGTCTGTTCATATCCTTCACCTACTTGTTGATGGGGTTGTTTGTTTTTTTCTTGTAAATTTGTTGGAGTTCATTGTAGATTCTGGATATTAGCCCTTTGTCAGATGAGTAGGTTGCAAAAATTTTGTCCCATTCTGTAGATTGCCTGTTCACTCTGATGGTAGTTTCTTTTGCTCTGCAGAGCTCTTTAGTTTAATTAGATCCCATTTGTCAATTTTGGCTTTTGTTGCCATTGCTTTTGGTGTTTTAGACATTAAGTCCTTGCCCATGCCTATGTCCTGAATGGTATTGCCTAGGTTTTCTTCTAGGGTTTTTAAGGTTTTAGGTCTAACATTTAAGTCTTTAATACATCTTGAATTAATTTTTGTATAGGGTGTAAGGAAGGGATCCAGTTTCAGCTTTCTCCATATGGCTAGCCAGTTTTCCCAGCACCATTTATTAAATAGGGAATCCTTTCCCCATTGCTTGTTTTTCTCAGGTTTGTCAAAGATCAGAAGGTTGTAGATATGCAGCATTATTTCTGAGGGCTCTGTTCTGTTCCATTGGTCTACAACTCTGTTTTGGTACCAGTACCATGCTGTTTTGGTTACTGTAGCCTTGTAGTATAGTTTGAAGTCAGGTAGCGTGATGCCTCCAGCTTTGTTCTTTTGGCTTAGGATTGACTTGGCGATGCGGGCTCTTTTTTGGTTCCATATGAACTTTAAAGTAGTTTTTTCCAATTCTGTGAAGAAAGTCACTGGTAGCTTGATGGGGATGGCATTGAATCTATAAATTACCTTGGGCAGTATGGCCATTTTCACGATATTGATTCTTCCTAACCATGAGCATGGAATGTTCTTCCATTCCAAAATTGACCACATAGTTGGAAGTAAAGCACTCCTCAGCAAATGTAAAAGAATAGAAATTATAACAAACTGTCTCTCAGACCACAGTGCAATCAAACTAGAACTCAGGATTAAGAAATTCGCTCAAAACCACTCAACTACATGGAAACTGAACAACCTGCTCCTGAATGACTACTGGGTACATAACGAAATGAAGGCAGAAATAAAGATGTTCTTTGAAACAAATGAGAACAAAGCCACAACATACTACAATCTCTGGGACACATTCAAAGCAGTGTGTAGAGGGAAATTTATAGCACTAAATGCCCACAAGAGAAAGCAGGAAAGATCTAAAATTGACACCCTAACATCACAATTAAAAGAACTAGGGAAGCAAGAGCAAACACTTTCAAAAGCTAGCAGAAGGCAAGAAATAACTAAAATCAGAGCAGAACTGAAGGAAATCGAGACACAAAAAAACCCTTCAAAAAATTAATGAATCCAGGAGCTGGTTTTTTGAAAAGATCAACAAGATTGATAGACTGCTAGCAAGACTAATAAAGAAGAAAAGAGAGAAGAATCAAATAGACGCAATAAAAAATGATAAAGGGGATATCACCACCGATCCCACAGAAATACAAACTACTATCAGAGAATACTATAAACACCTCTATGCAAATAAACTAGAAAATCTAGCAGAAATGGATAAATTCCTCAACACATACACCCTCCCAAAACTAAACCAGGAAGAAGTTGAATCTCTGAATAGACTAATAACAGGCTCTGAAATTGAGGCAATAATTAACAGCTTACCAACCAAAAAAAGTCCAGGACCAGATGGATTCATAGCCAAGTTCTACCAGAGGTACAAGGGGGAGCTGGTACCATTCCTTCTGAAACTATTGCAATCAATAGAAAAAGAGGGAATCCTCCCTAACTCATTGTATGAGGCCAGCATCATCCTGATACCAAAGCCTGGCAGAGGCACAAAAAAAAAGAGAATTTTAGACCAATATCCTTGATGAACATCGATGCAAAAATCCTCAATAAAATACTGGCAAACTGAATCCAGCAGCACATCAAAAAGCTTATCAAGTGGGCTTCATCCCTGGGATGCAAGGCTGGTTCAACATACACAAATCAATAAACGTAATCCAGCATATAAACAGAACCAATGACAAAAAACACATGATCATCTCAATAGATGCAGAAAAGGCTTTTGACAAAATTCAACAACCCTTCATGCTAAAAACTCTCAATAAATTAGGTATTGATGGGACGTATCTCAAAATAATAAGAGCTATCTATGACAAACCCATAGCCAATATCATACTGAATGGGCAAAAACTGGAAGCATTGCCTTTGAAAACTGGCACAAGACAGGGATGCCCTCTCTCACCACTCCTATTCAACATAGTGTTGGAAGTTCTGGCCAGGGCAATCAGGCAGGAGAAGGAAATAAAGGGTATTCAATCAGGAAAAGAGGAAGTCAAATTGTCCCTGTTTGCAGATGACATGATTGTATATCTAGAAAACCCCATCAGCTCAGCCCAAAATCGCCTTAAGCTGATAGGCAAATTCAGCAAAGTCTCAGGATACAAAATCAATGTGCAAAAATCACGAGCATTCTTATACACCAATAACAGACAAACAGAGAGCCAAATCATGAGTGAACTCCCATTCACAATTGCTTCAAAGAGGATAAAATACCTAGGAATCCAACTTACAAGGGACTTGAAGGACCTCTTCAAGGAGAACTACAAACCACTGCTCAATGAAAGCCAAAGTTTCTTATTTCTCCTTTCCAAAACTAAGCTCCTTTGAAGTATAGTCAGCTCTCATTATTTACCATAGATTATGTTTTATAAAGTTACCATGAATACTAAATCAGCTATTTCTAACCATTGCTCCTAGTGAATGATAAGGTTACGTTCCAGTGAGCCTGTAGACATAACGTTTTTATTCTAAGCATTTTCAAATTAAAGAAATAAAATAGATGTGCAAAATAGCAGAATGGACACAATTTAGAATCAAATTAATCAACTAGAAAATTAAGTTGAAATATTTACTCAAAATATGATCCCTTGGGCAAAAATGAAAAATCTGGAAAACCTAAAGATTCCACCGGAAGACTCTTAGAAGTGATAAATTTGTAAAGTTGCAGGATACAAAATCAACATTCAAAAATCAGTAGCATTTCTATGTGCCAACAGTGAACAATGTGAAAAGGAAATTTAAAAAGTAATTCCATTTACAACAGCCACACATAAAATTAAATACCTAGAAATTAATTTAACCAAAGAAGTGAAAGACTATATAATGAAAACTATAAAACATTGATGAAGGAAATTGAAGAGGACATCAAAAAAATGGAAAGATATTCCATGTTCATGGATTAGAAGACTCAATGTTGTTAAAATGTCCATGCTACCCAAAGCAATCCACAGATTCAATGCAACTCCTATCAAAATAGCAATGACATTCTTCACATAAATAGAAAAAAAAGTCAATGCTAAAATTTATGTAGAACCACAAAAGACCCAGAAGAGCCAAAACTATCCTAGGCAAAAGAACAAAACTAGAAGAAAAACATTACCTGACTTCAAATTATGTAACAGAGATATAGTAACCAAAACAGTGTGGTACTGACATAAAAACAGACTCATAGACCAATGGAACAGAATACAGAACCCAGAAACAAATTCACACAGCTACAGTGAACTCATTTTTGACAAAGGTGCCAATAACATACACTGGGAACAAGACAGTCTCTTCTATAAATTCAGTTTTCCCAGACAGTGGGGATATATATATATATATATATATATATATATATATATATATATATATATATATATATATATGGATATATATATCCATATATAGAAGAATGAAACTAGACCCCTATCTAACCCATACACAAAAATAAAATCAAAATGAATTAAAAACTTAAATCTAAGACCTCAAACTATGAAATTACTACAAGAAAACATTGGGAAAAATCTGCAGGACATTGATCTGGGCAAAGATTTCTTGAGCAATACCCCACAAGTGCAGGCAACCAAGGCAAAAATGAACAAATGGATCACATCAAGCTAAAAACCTCCTGCAAAGCAAAGGATACCATCAACAAAGTAAAGAGACAACTCACAGAATAGGAGAAAATATGTGCCAACTACCAATCTGGCAAGGGGCTAAAAACCAGAATATATAAGGAACTCAAACAACTCTATAGGAAAAAAATCTAATAATTCAATCAAAAAATGGGCAAAAGATTTGAATAGACATTTCTCCAAAAAAGACATACAAATGGCAAACATGCACATGAAAGGTGCTCAACATCATTGAGCATCAGAGAAATGCAAATCAAAACTACAATGAAATATCATCTCACCCAGTTAAAATAGCTTATATCCAAAATACAGGCAATAACAAATGCTAGCAAGGATGTAGAGAAAAGGGAACCCTTGTACACTGTTGTGAGAATGTAAATTAGTACAACCACTATGGAGAACAGTTTGGAGGTTCCTCAAAAAACTAAAAGTAGAGCTGCCATATGATCCAGCAATAGCACTGGTAGGTATATACTGAAAAGAAAGGAAATCAGCACATTGAAGAGATATCTGCACTCTTGTGTTTGCTGCAGCACTGTTTACAATAGATAAGATTTGGAAGTAACCTAAGTGTCCATCAACAGATGAATGGATAAAGAAAATGTGCTACATATACACAGTGGAGTACTATTCAGCCATAAAAAAGAATGAGGGCCAGTCATTTGCAACAACATGCATGGAACTAGAGATCATTATGTTAAGTGAAATAAGCCAGGCACAGAAATACAAACATCACATATTCTCAATTATTTATGTGACCTAGAAATCAAAACAATTGAACTCATGGACATAAAGCGTAAAAGAATGGTCACCAGAGGTTGGGAAGGGTGGTGGGAAGAGGGGTTACGTGGGGATGGTAAATGGGTAAAAAACATAGAAAGAAGGGATAAGAGCTACTATTTGACAACACAATAGGGTGACTATAGTCAATAATAACTTAATTGTGGCATTTTAAAATAAAGAGTGTGACTGGATTGTTTGTAACTCAAAGGTTAAGTGCTTGAGGGGATGGATATCCCATTCCCACGTGCTTATTTCACATTAAATGCCTGTATCATGTTTTGACATCTCATGTACTCCATACATGTATACATTTACTATGTACCCACAAAAAAATTTTAAAAGATTTAAATTTTTAAAAATCTGGAAGAACAGATAAAAAATATAATAAAAGATAAATATAGAAGTTCTAATATCCATTTCAAGATTTCCAGAAGCCAAGCACAGGGAAATCAGGGAGAAGAAATAACATAATAAAATATATTTAAGCTATACAAAAACTTGCAGCTTAATATTTAAAGGGAATATTAAAAGATTATAAATAATGAGAAAATATGACAGCTAGAAATATCTCAGTGGAATTTCAGAATTCTAAATATAAAAAGAAGGTACTAAGCTTATCTAGAGGAGAATAGGTTACCTGTAAAGGAATAAAAATCAGATAGAAGTCTTACAATTTGCGAGCACACACACACACAAACACACACACACACACACACACACACACACACACAAAATGGATACTACAAGACAGTGAGCTTATGTCTTCAAAGTACCAAGGAAAAATAATGTTGAACCTAAAATAGTAGGCAGTCTCTAAAATGGCCTAAATTATCTCCACTTTCTGGTATTCATACCTTCTGTGATTCCCCGCAATCTCTGAGTGTGAGTTGGGTTTAGTGAATTACTTTAAACAAATAGAATACAGAAGAAGCAATGGGATGTCACTTTTGAGATTCAGTAATTAAAAGACTTTGTCTTCTGTCTGGAGAGAAGTCTCTTTTCCTCTCCTGCTCCCTACCTCTGCAGGAAGCCAGCTTCCATGTTGTGAGATGCCCTATGGAAAAGCCTACGTGGCATAAAAAGGAGGGAGACCTCCAGCCAATAGCCTGCATGGAACTGAATCCTATCAACAATCACTTAAGTGAACCGGGAATTTGATCTAGTTCTTGGTGATGTCTTCAGATTGACCACAGGCCTAGATGCCAGTTTCTCTGCAACTTTGATGACTTTGAGCCAGAGACAACCAGAAAAATGTTACTCCGATTTCTGACCCACAGAAACTATTTAAAAAATTTGTTGTTTTAAGCCACTGAGTGTAGTGGTCATTTGTTGTGGAGCAACAGGCATTCAAGCGTGAGAGCAAAATAAAAACATTTTTGAAACGAGCTCAAAACTGTAGCCACGAACAAATCTTTCTGAAAGAATTATGAGGATGGGTTTCAACCAAACAAGCCAAAAAAAAAAAAAAAAAAGAGAGAGAGAGAACTGAAAAACTAGACATAACAATGAATTTTTGAACAATAGAAAATGTAGATAATTCTAAATAGCTGCTGAAAATACAGTTGTGAAATTTAAGGCAATCGTTAAGAAATTATTTCTAAGAAATTAGAACCATAATAAAAAAGAACAATAAAAACAATCTAAATTTTGGTGTCTTCAAGGAAACAGAATACACAGGGTGTGGAAAGGAAAAATATACAGGTGCTAAGAATTTTATCCTCTTCAGAAGAGATCAAATAACTTCATCAATTATCTATGTTTATAAAATAATATTTTGTAATGCTTGTTAAAAATGAATTGGTAAACACAAAGAAAAAATGAAAATATGCCATATAAACATCTGAAGGGCAAAAAATAGAAAAAAAACCTATTACTACAGCTAAAGAAAATGCTAGGAAACATTAAAAATAGAAATAGATGTCAGAAATAATATCAATTACGTAAGTTATTACAGATGATTACGGTAAATGACACTATCATTCAAAAGCAGTGATTCTTGGATTGAGTTTTAAAAATTAGTTATATGTCATTTACAAAAGTCACACTCAAATAATATAAAACAAAATCTTCGTGTGGGTGAAAAAAGGTGATAGGCAGATCACATACCTGTCAAAGAGTAACAAAAAACAAACGAGTGGCAATATCAAAAGCATGTGTAGTCTATTTGAGGTAAACAATCCTTAAAGCAGAAGAAAGAGTTATTTCCCAAGAAATGTGTCATTAAATATCATGCATCTAACAGCACAGCGTTGACACAAATACAAAGCAAAATCTGTTGGAAACACAGAAATGACAAGTCCCCAGCATAGTGGAAGACTTGAATGAACCTTAATCGCTACTACTAACAAATTTTTTTTTTTGTCTACAAAATTGAGATTACACATTGATTCTTAAAATGCTTTTAACATTTACTGAAATTGACTACGAGTTAGTCAAGAAAGAACAATAAATTCTAAAAACTAGAAGCCATATTTTCTCATTGCAAAGAAGAATAACATAATTGAACACAAAAATCTATACAATTAAAAGCTGAAACTTTCTATATCAAGTGTTTTAAAGGCAATCAATATAGGAATTAGAGGCTACAGAAAAATTTGTGATTATACCTCAACCTACAGGCAAAAATCTATAGGGTGTACTTTAATTGGTGTTCCGAGGAAATTGCATATGCCTAAATGTACTTACTAGAGAATAAGAAGATCAGAAATAAATTAACTAAATATTCAACTAAAGAACATAGAACATGAATTAAATAAATTTGAAGTAGAAAGTAGCAAACATAAAAGCAGAAATTGATCCTATTTAATGTTAACCGGGGTATGTAGAAATTAGGACTCCATGCCTTCAGCGGTACTGTAAATTTTTGAAGCCTTTTGTGAGGTCAATTCAGAAAAATCTATTAAAATTTTGAATATGTATATATTTGCTTTTGAAACCCACTCTATATGAATAGTCGCTCTTTTCCCCAACATGTAACGGAAGGCTGGAAATTCTAGTCTTGCTTTTAACAGCAGCATTTGAAAAGGTATTAATGTCCCTTAATAGGGGACTGGTTAAATAATGTTATATTCATGTACAAAATATTGTGTAGCGGTTAAAAAGAATGGCTGCCCTCTGTACAGTCTGACAGAGAAATATCAGGGATTTATTATTAAATGGAAACAGTATGGAACAAAATAATATTCATAACATAGTGCCATTTTAAATGTTTTAAACTATGAGTATGTGTGAAGCACTTACAAGTATCCTCAT
This sequence comes from Homo sapiens, assembly GCF_000001405.40. Lineage (NCBI taxonomy): Eukaryota > Metazoa > Chordata > Mammalia > Primates > Hominidae > Homo > Homo sapiens. Next base: position 62,320,430 of record NC_000014.9, on the reverse strand, counting down.
AAAAATCTCTGGAAGGGTATATACCAAACCACACCCAGTTGCTACCCTGTGATATAAGGAATTAGGGAATTGAGTAAATTTTTTTAAACCACAAACCATACTGAATTTTTATAATTAATAATCATGAGCATTGCCTTGATATGACAAAAGGCCCAAGCTCCTGTCCCAGCTCTATTTTGTAACGTGTAACTTTTAATGACTCATAAATGCTGTAAGCATCAGGTCTTTCATTTGCTAAATGGCGATAAAGAAAGCTTTTTCTACCTACGTAGCTGGTTCATTGGGAAGAATAAATAGAATAATGAATGGTAACATTGTTTTAAAATCTGCAAAACACTGTACAAATGCCCGGGATCCAAGAAACTGAAGTAAAAAGAGATATGAAATGTCATCCAAGAAAATGAAAAATAGTATTGTACAACTTCCTTCTCTCCACTTCCTGTAGATGGGGACACTGATTTTTCTGACAGCTGAATGTGTCAAAAAGAAATGTCTCAGACACAGACACTGAAGGAGCTGTCAAGCTCAAGAAGCAGAAGGATGGGTGAGGAAGGATGGAGACTTAGGAAGGACACAGGAAAGGAGATGGAATGATGTAACTCCCGCAGAAGTCAGTCAGCCCTCATTTAACAAGCCAGTTCTTCTGGAGTAAGGAGTGTTTTCAGAGTGTGAATTGTCACAGACCTGACTTTGCGGGAATTTGTCCTCACCCTTAATTGGTATGTCAAAGAGATATCTGTACTCCCTTATTCATTACAGCACTATTCACAGTAGGCAAGATATGGAATCAACCTAAGTGTCTATTAACAGATGAATGAAGAAAGTATGGTAAATATACATAGTGGAATACTATCCTACCACACACACACAAAAAAAATGAGATCCTGTCATTTGCAGCAACATGGATGGAACTGGAGGACATTATATTAAGTAAAATCAGTCAGGCACAGAAAGACATATCTTGCACATTCTCACTTATACATTGTAGCGGGAAAAAAAATTTGATCTCGTGGAGATAGTGAATAGAATAGTGATTACCAGAGGCTGAGAATGGTAGTGGGGAGGAGGGAATAAAGAGAGGTTGGTTGATGGGGACAAATACACAGATAGAAAGTAAGTTCTAGTTCCCAATAGCACAATAGGGTGACTAAAGTTGTCAATAATATAACATATATTTCAAAATAGCCAGAAGACAAGATCTGGAATGCTCCCAACACAAAGAAATAATAAATGTTTGAAGTTATATATATTCCAATTACCCAGATTTGATTATTACATTGCATGCTTGTATCAAAATATCACATGTACCTTACAAATATGTACAACTATTGTGTATCCATAGAAATTTAAAAAATTTCTCTTGAGGTATCAGAGATAGAATACAAATCCCAACACATTGGCCTTATTGGTTTCTGTCAGTGAAAAGAAATTCCTTTTCGTAAAATAATCAGATTCCAGAAAACGGAGAAGTGGGTTATACAGAGATTACTGAATTTGTGTGCAAATTTTCCTTGAAATTTGTATCTTAGAGAAATCCTCCAACAATGTATTGCTAGCCCACAGCAATAAATACATATATAAGATTAATGTCCCGAGAAAGAGTAGGTAATTTTAAAGTTACATATTTTGATTAATACTTTTTTAAAAAATGACCTTGTTATATTTGGCCTCAAGCCATTAAACTTTCAGCTAGAAAGAGAGGAGATAATATTTAATGGATTGCAAGCCTACAAGACAGAAAGCGTGATTATTTTCCATTTTCTGTACCACCCCCAGGCCAGTGGTGCTAAATAAATGTTAAATTATTTTAAAACTTGGCCTGAAAGGAAAGTCCATGAAACGGAGAATATATCATCCTGTAATCTTCGCAGGAGAATTTATAAGACTTCTGGTGGTTAGTGCAAGCGTTTGAATAAAATGAAGAGGTAAAGCCTTCCCAGTGACAAGACTTATCCCAGTTTTTGAGGCAAGCTTTCAGATGTCCAGATATGTGGGCAATGACTGTGTCTTGATTGTGTCCCTGTTTGATCCCCTCCCCTAGCTTTATACAGTATTTGGTATACAACTTGCTCTCAATAAACATTTGTTAAATGAATATGTAAAGAATTCTGAAGGAAAGGATTTTTCCTCTCTTCTCATAAATGACATGAATCATAATATAAATTCATCCTCACTGCAACCGTGGGTTTATTGGGGCTTTGACCTTTTTTACTGATTATTCCAAATTTGGACTTGAAAGGCAACGGATTAAATGAGAGGAGTCTGAATGGGTGGAAATGGGTAACAGGTTCTATTCCATTTCTGATAATACCCTGGGGTACTAAAAATAAGTCATTCCTCCCTCATATCTTACTTAGGTGATAACTTCTGCAAGCCAAAGTTTTCAGGGATTAGACACTGGCAAAGGAGGTCAGATGAGACTGGGGCATCCAAAAGGAAGAGAATGGAAGTTACAAGAGAGGCAGGAAAGGGCAAAACATACGTTCTGACACACAGTCCAGCATGTCTAAGATGGAATTTATCAGTATTTGCTCATACTTGAGTGAAACCTTCAAAGGGCATCAACTTCCTACTTTGCTTATTTGTCTATATGTCTCCTTTCATCCTGATTCATTGAGACTTCAGTACATTTATGACTTTCCCTTTCCTTGTACTTAATCATTTATCATCTTTTAATCAGCATCATTTATCACCTTTTAATCAGCATCATTTATGTTCTAGAGAGGGTGAAGGTATGACTTCTCCCCTCGAAAAAACTCATGAACCGCAGAAATGTTCTTATGGTCAAATACATTTGGAAAATGCTTAATATTTATTTTCTCTTAGAGAATTGCCCATGTATATTAACATATTCAACACTCTCCAAGGCCTGTAAGAAAAAAAAATCTTAGATACTTGATTTAACCTAGCATTTTCTCAAACTTTTTTCACTATGGTACCACTTTAAACCTAGTAACATCTAAAGCAAGGGTTATGTGTTTTTAAATAAAATATGCAAACAACAAAATTTTAAACAAAATGTATCCAGAATTCCATGTGTTTTTAATAATTCTGCTCTTGTAAACAACTGATCGGGCTTGATTTGCCCCCAAATAGTCCTTATTTATGCATGTTGTCCTAGCTTATTAATAGTGTCCCATATTCAAAGGTGCCCTGATATAGACAACAAATTATATAGTGACCCTATACACAGACCAACTTTGCGCATCTCACTCTGTCTTCCTCTTAAGTCCCTCATTCAAACTGGCCCATTGCAAAGAACTTTTGTATTCCGTAGACATAAATTGGGATACAAAACCAGGTATCAGTTACATTAATGTTACATAAATATTACTATTAGCTTTTGAAATCCTAATGTTAATTCCTTCTATTTATTCAGGTTTGTATATTCCCAATCCAAATTATGTGGGTGATCTAAAATTCCAATGTGAAATAATACTTAACTATCCAATATGTTTAATCTGTCTCTTTCAAGTTTTCATAGTATAATCACGCAGGTAAACAGTCCAAATTCTCACAGTGATACTTAAATGACTGATCTTCCCATGAAGTCATGAAGTCATTTCAGACCTGCCTTCTACCCTTCCATATGTCATGGTAACACATAAAATCACAATTAAAAAGTGGTGATGATCCAAGATTGCATACATATATATGGCTTTGGTGGCTGTGTTGACTTCCAGATTTCCCACAAAATTCACTACCAATAAGAAACAAACATTGAAAATAGACTTCAAATATCCTATTATGTTAAATATAAACTTATAAGGGTTTTAGTGAGAGATTTGCATAAGCCTTGTTTTTAGTCTGGTCACTATTGACATTTCAAGCCAAATAACACTATGTTGTCAGGGGCTGTCCTGTGCATTGTAGGATATTTACAGCATCCTCAGCCTCTAACTAATAGAGGCTAGTAGCAACCCTACCCTTACCATCACACACCCTTCAAGGTGTGTCAACCAAAAATATCTCCAGCTATCGCCAAATGTCCCCTGAGGGACAAAATTGTTTCTGACTGAGAACCCCTGGAATAAGCAGTTGTAGGGAAGAACTGAGTCCTGATGTGTCACATTGCTGCAAAATCACATTAAATCCATACTAACTCTACAGGTAAGGGTTCACGCATCACCTACTAGGTACAAGACACTTTTCAAATACTATAAGAGATTTTTAAAAACTAGAAATACATCCTGCCATCAAAAACTTTAAAAGATAGGATACCTCTGAGGTAACTGAATTTATTCTAATTCTACGTGTGCTTATTTAATACTGTTTGGGACACTGAGTAGTACATATATTTACTGATCATCTAAGCACATCTATTGTAGTAATAAGTTAGCAAATATTCTAAATAGAATTACCTGAGATAATAAAGTGAAAGCATAGAACTGATATTACTCAGGTCACACATTTGATGACGAAATATAGAAATCCTTATGAACTACTAAACGGAAGGCTTCAAAGATGCATCTGAGGAGGTGGATTTTCTTCTGGGCTGAAACATATAACAGAAAATTGCCAATCTTTTTCTAGAGATCAAAAAAGGGCTTATAGGAAAGCTCATACTTCAGTTTAAAATTTATGATATTTTTCTCTGGAGCTTGGGATATTAAGCTTGCAGAAGTTGGAGAATTCTACAAAGAGCCTGTGGATAACTAGGTGGATTGATTGTAATCCAGTTTTGAGATGAAGGCCAGAGAAGTGTTTTCTGGGGGTGCAACATGGGTAAACTATGTATAGGAAGATAATTGGCCTGCAAGGCAAGGGACTTCAGTTCCAAAGTTGGTTCTGACTCTACTCTTCAGTCTTATAAATTTACTTTAGGTCAAGAAAGCTAAATATGCTTTCCCTGTATAAAAGAAGAATCATGTCTTCTCAGTCTACCTCAAATTAAATACTGTAAATGAAAATTGAATTACATTTGTTATATTAACATAAGCTGTTAATTAGCTACCAAATGAAATTATTGTACTGAAGGTCCACTCAGATTGCTTCCAGGTCTGAAAAATCTATAGTTTTACCACAAAGCTTAAGTCTCCAAGATAGTATCTGTATTTATGAAAGAATAGCATATAGGTATTAGCCTCATAAAGTTCACCAGTCAACTTCTCTAAGCCGGCTAGACTTAGATGCAGATAAAATTGTCAGGTGGTTTGTATTTTTGTACCACCAGGGACAAGAGGAACATACAAATGAACAGTCAAGTCAATCACTGGACCTGGAGAAAACCCCCACTGAGTTCCAGCATTTAGGAGGAAAATATTTCCTCTTTTTTGGCTTCTAACGTCTCAGTATCAACTAGTAGCAAAGAATCATAATCCAGGCTTTGGTACTCTGAGAGCAGAAGGGGCCATAAAATGCATTTCATCTCTTCTAACTAAGCTTTCCTTTTATACAGTGGAGAAACTATTGAATTTTACTTGTGAGATCTGACTAGCCCACATTTCTTGGTAAAGAAAGAGATCTGCCAGCCCTAGGGTTAAGCAGAAAGCAAAAGGCAGCATATTTATCAAAGCAAGACAGTCAACATGCATTTAGCTGTATGTTCTCAGGAAGCTTGCTAATGCCAGCAGTAACGTTATCACCATGTGTGTAGTGTTTTATAGTACCCTCACACACTTTTGTATTCATGATCAGTTTTAATACATGACTGAAAATTCATTTGGTGATGCTGCATGATTTTTACTTATATTTACTTATATATTGCTATCCATTAAAAGCAGACTCTCACCTTTGTGATTTTCTTTTTCAGTTTTTCCTGAGAGAAGCCAGTCCAGTCAAATGAAAACATCAGAAACCAGTGGAATGTTGATAGGAGATTTTTAAAATTATACCTAAGGCTGGATTTAAGCTCAGTCAAAATTAGGTTCCCAATTCCGTCTGTTCTTCAGGATCATGGGGAAGCAGAAGTGCCAGTTGGACTGGAAAGTTCTAGTGTGAGATGAAAATTTCTTACTTAGAAACTAGACTTTGTAGCCTGTCAGCAAACATAAGGTTTAGATATTTTGTGAAAATATTTCCCCAAAATAGCCTACAGTATGCTGCTTGGGAAATGTTTGAGAAGGAAGACAAAATTTAGTCAAGGAAGTTTGTGACCATGGAGGACAAGATCCTCCACAGAAGTTTCTTGGTTTGGTAGCTCCTGCCCCCATCCCCGTTTCCTTCTGTCTCCTCCATTTTCTTTTTGCTTTCTGATGCAGCAGCTCAATGGGAATAGGCACATCTATATTTAGTATTTTCTTTGTCCATATGGGAATCTGTAATCTCTTCAGACTTGGCAAAGATGATTCAGTTTGTTGTTTTCTTACTGTTGCTGCTAATTGGAGAATTACCTCATTGCAGACTTGTGCACACGCTATGATTCCAGTCTAGTTTTAATCTTCATTAGGTGAGAGAGAGTCTAATAAAGACAATCCTGAAATCACAATATGTTAACTCAAAACATTTAACTAAAAATACTTATTCATCAAACACAATTTGGTGATTTTTATGGAAATTTTTCAAGACGCAAAACTGAGCAACTAAAAATAAAACTAAGCCTATGTTTGCTCTAAGTGCCGCTAGACTGTGACTATTTGGAAAACAATTTTACAGGTGGGTGAAAACATCACCAACAAGTATTTTGTGGAGTTTCCATTTGCCAAAGAATTGTGACCTGAGAAGGTAAAATAGTATCTGCCCACAAAATGTGCAATCTGGTATTGAGATAAATCACACAACCTGAAAAGTTTAATATAAAGACAATAATTGAATAGTGAGTGAACCAAAATTACAAGAGCTGCCTAAAATATTTCTTGAGGATTTTCCACAGCTGAGTTGAGAGAAAGATGAATTCATTGGGGGCACATATCTATATGGAATAAGGAAAGCCTCACAGAAGAAGAATTAAAACTCGGCCTTAAAGTCAGTTAAAGTTCAGGTAGAAGAGAAAGGAAAACACCTTTCGGATGAGGAAGTCCATTGATCTAATTCTAATTAAGTGTCTAGTGTACTCTGTGCCACACCCTGTTCTAGGTTACAGACTCACAAGAATGAACAAAACAAATACAATCACTGCCCTGGTGGAGTTAGCAGTCTGATCTCATAAAGAAGAACAGATAAAGAAAATGTGGTACATATACACAATGGAATATTATTCCACCATAATAAAGAATGAAATCTTATCATTTGCAGCAACACGGCTCAAACTGGAGGATATTATGCTGAGTGAAATCAGCCAGGCACAGAAAGACAAATATCATACATAATTTATCATATATGAGAACTAAAAAAAAAATTGATCTCATAGAGATAGAGAACAGTGATGGTGACCAAAGAGGCTTTGAAAGATAGGCAGAGTGGGGGTATGAAGAGAGCTTGGTTAGTGAATAAAATATACAGTCAAATAGAATAATTTCTAGTGTTTCACAGCACACTAGAACAACTGTAATTCACAGTAATTTAATGTATTAATATATTTCAAATTAGCTAGAAGATTTGGAATGTTTCCAACACAAAGAAATGATAAATGTTTGAGGCAATGGATATGCTAATTAACCAGATTTGATCATTATATATTATATGCATGTATCAAATTACATGTCCTCCATAAGTATGTACAACTATTGTGTATCTATATAAATTTAAACATTTGGCTGGGTGTGGTGGCTCACGCCTGTAATTCCAGCTTTGGGAGGCCCAGGAGAGTGAATCACTTCAGGTCAGGAGTTCAAGACCGGCCTGGCCAACACGGTAAATCCCCTCTATACTAAAAATACAAAAATTAGCCAGGCATGGTGGCATGTGCCTGTAATCCCAGCTACTGGGGAGGCTGAGTTAGAATTGATTGAGCCTCGGAGGCAGAGGTTGCAGTGAGCTGATATCGCACCACTGCACTCCAGCCTGGGTGACAGAGCAAGACTCTGTCTCAAAAAATAAGACAGTAATAGTGAAAATAAAACAAAATCACAGCCAAGGAAATAGCAAGTTGAGGTTCAGGACTTGCGCACATCCTGGAAAGTCTACTTTCTCCTCTCCATCTCCCTTAACTCCAAGCAGCATGGTCACTGGGAACTGCTGCAGAAAATATCCCTTCACCTGAATTGATGACAATAACAGCATCAGTAGGTTAGTTGATAAGTGAATAAAGCTACTGTCTTAAAAAAAATCTAGTGATTGTTTTTCTTGGCTCAATGTACAGCTCATATAGAGGACACAAATCACAAAGTAGCTGCCCCTGTCAATCCTGGACTCAGTGTAAAGCCTCTGGGTGTGGTGAGGAGCTGATGAAGCCTAGAATTTTGTCATTTTTTTCCTTGAAAATCAAATCATCACAAAAAGCATTAACTACGAGATTGTGTCACATTTGAAGAGCAACGATACTGTATAAATATAACCATAATTCTATTTCCTGTTCTATACTTAATTTCTCAACAATTCCCTTTTTAAAATGAGGTTTTGGATAGAGGTAGAGAACATTAAAAATTAAAAGTAAAACACTATACGTAAAAATATTGAAACATTTCAGTGTTTAGGTTTGTGTTTTTTTGTTTGTTTGTTTGTTTGTTTGTTATAACTAAGGCATTAGTGTCTATTAACTCTTATCTAGAATTTTAAAAACCACATGTAGGTCATGAACCAGCTTGCATGAAATAAGAAAAGCTGCCTTAGTTGAAGTTGTGGAATGGACCTGAACCTCTGCCCCAAATCCAACCTCCCACCCTCACCTTCCAGCTGCCCCTGAGATATTATCGCAGAACACTAGGTTTCAGCAGCATTCACACCAGAAAACAATCGCCTGGTCTATCTCTTCTTTTGGGAATGAAGCTATGTACCACCTTTAATTTTTAATTTAATTTACACATTTAATTTCATTTTCAAGAAGCTGAGCTTTAGTTTATCCAGGATTAACTATATAGTACCACTGAACGGTTTTGTTTGGCTGTAAAAATTCTAACATTTTTGAAACAATGAACTCATTATCAGATCCTCCTTTCTTACCTAGAAGTAATTTGATTAAAATAATGAAGAGACAAGCCTAGAATCCAGGCCTTATGGCAAAGGCCACTCAGCTTTGTGGCCTCTATTCTGAACACGAACCAACCGTAAGCATGTACGTATCTGTACATGGTATGTAGTCTAAATATTTTTTTCTAATTGTAAATTCTTTACTAAATTGAGAGTTGGAGGATTCCATGAGAGTTAGGCCTTTTCTAGTAGAGGTTTAAGACTCACAGGGAAAAACTGAAAAAGCAGCAAGCCTCCATTAACACCCTCCTCATATGCATTCCTGCTAAGAGAACTCAAATAGACTCATTCTCCTTAAACAACATGGAGCATTAAAGAAAACAGTACTGTTTTCTTCTACTATATTTGTCTGGAGCAGAGATATCAGGTACCTATAGTTAGTTAGAGTCCTCAACTAGTTAGTCTTTGCTTGTATCCCAAAGAAACAAACTCTGCTGTCTCAATTTTAAAAGGGGACTTACTGAAAAGATATTGTTATAAGATTCACGATGGTTCAGCTTAGAAACAAACAGGAGACAGAGATCAGACAAAACATGGTGACTTCTGCTTGTTTCCAGGACCACCACTGTTGGATGCTTCCCCAACCTGCATCACCTGCCCTTCCTCTTTTTGTCACATACTCAAAATTAACCTCTCCCAGACAGAAGCATTTATTTTGCTAAGCTACTGTCATATGCCCAAACCTTGTTGCTATGGGACAAAGAGAGGTTTCCTGCCCCCACCCCACCCTCTGGCCCATTCACAACCACAAAACAGGAGATTCCCTAGAATCAATAAGGCAATTCAGAGGCAAGGCAGCCAGAAAAAAATGGCAAGTATTTACAGTCAGAGTATACGAGTCAAAAGACTACATGGTTAGCCATTTAAACTATAGATAAGAAAGAAGCATAGAATTTTCAACTCCAAAGAGTCAAAATTATTGAACTACAGATAAGAGGAAAAATGTTCTAAGGCTCTTGGACATTCATACTCTATAACGGTTTTATCCAAAGTGTGCCCTGTTAAACACACCACGTCTCATGAGATACTTGTCATGTACAGAAAGTGGTTCATATCACACATGTCCACATACTAGTTAGAACATTAAATGTTTTAAGTTTGTTTTATTGAGCATTCTCCAACCTTCATCATTTAGCCCTCAACACCTGCAGCATCAGTTTTCAAACGAGCACACTAAAAAAAAAAAAAAAAAGATGTTCCTCACAAAATAAGTATTGTATCCTATGAACATTTTGAGACCATTTCACAGCAGTTAAGACTTTTCTGGCTTAAGACTAACTTAACTAATTTCACTATTTAGTCTTTGATCCCATGAAGTTATAGCAGCTTTCTGTAAATCAGATTACAGGTAATCTGCCTTTCCAAAGATAGAACATGTAGAAACTTTGCTTCTACCATGAGGGTCATCCCTAATAGCCAGTGGGTAAGTTGCTGTATTAGTCCATTTTCACACTGCTATAAAGATACTACCCAAGACTGGATAATTTATAAAGAAAGATGTTTAATTGACTCACAGTTCCGCATGGCTGGGGAGGCCTCAGGAAACGTACAATCATGGCAGAAGGGGAAGCAGGCGCGTCTTACATGGTGGCAGGTGAGAGGGAGAGAGTGAAAAGTCCAGTGGAAACTGCCATTTATAAAACCATCAGATCTCATGAGAACTCCCTCACTATCACAGGAACAGGACGCGGGAACCCATCCCTATGATCCAGTCACCACCCACCAGGTCTCTCCCTCAACACCTGGGGATTGCAGTTCAAGATGAGATTTGGGTAGGGGCACAAAGCCTAACCATATTAGTAGATATTCTTCTCCTTGACTCAGTTTGCAGGAAATGGAGTATGATAGACTAGCAGAGCCCCCCTCCTTCCCCTTAGCAAAAGACAGAAGGGATGGGAATCAGATGTGAAAGTCCAGATACACATTCCCCCTTTTCTCATCTGTGGAAGCCCTGGGCCCTTCTTTCTTCAGCAGCCCAGAGCAATGTGCCCTACATCCAAACAGCTCTGCCAGCCTTCATGCTGCCCATTTTTTTGTAATCAAGGACATAAACAACTGAGAGCATGAGACAACTTTGAAATCACTTCCTTTAATTTTTAACCCCTTTAATTAAATGGAGATGAAAAAAATTAATCCTTAGCAGGATCAGAGTCTGAAAGTGAGAGGTATCAAGTGTTTTATCATTGCTTCCTGACTGCAACTCCGTACTTTGCTTTGTTTCTAGGCAGCAGATTATTGTAGCTTGCCTGACAAACATGATTAATAACTCAGCCAGAGCCTTTGTACCGGATGCAGTGTTTGCCAAAAAGGGCAGAACTCAATGGAGAAGGGGGCACTGCAGTGACAGTTACTTCCCTGTCCCATGACCCTTCTTTATAATTAAAAACCAAGCTCAATTACGTAGCCAACATTCACTGACATAAGCCTCTTCCCTCCTGTAAGTGAGGAGTGCTGATGCTGAGATTATTTTCACAGTTCTAAAATAAAGCAAAATGAAATATGGTGATCTCGCAAAATGTAGCTTCCACATTCAATTTTTGGAGCTGCTGAGACCTGTCAGACTTGTAACCTGTATTGCTGTGCTTGGGAGATGTAGTGCCTTTGCTAGGGAGCAGAGAAGCCGTGAATCCATGCTTTCTCTGTGTCACCTGTATCTAATAGCATTTGAAAACTTGCAATGGCACAAATTAAAGAAAATCGTGAGGCCATCCTAACCAAGTGAGGTGGGTTGTCAGTGACCTAGTTCAGGCTCTGTGGCTATTAATTCTGCTGCTGAATAGATTTGTCAATTGTACTATTTTTCAATTTTGGTACAATTTGTTCTGTTCTGTTTAAGGCCATTGCTTCCCTACTGAGGCAGCTTCCAAATAACAGCTGTGATGCCACCCACCAGCAACCTAAGGATGTCACCCAACTCAAGTAAACAGGTTGTGCAATTTGACCCCTCCCCCACACAAGTGCAAGGAAGTGCTCGGCCAGATGTAGATTTCGGCTAAGGGGATGCCTCTAAGAAAGCATCAGACCCACACAAAGGAGGCTAAATCTTGCCGGGTTTGATTTTGAGGGAATAATCACTTTATTTATAAAATGCCCCTCCTACCATGGCCCTGGAAAGCAGTCACAATTGTGACTAGATAAAAACGTTAATTAAGGCATCATAAGCCACCCTGAAGGTGCAGGAATAAAAATAAAGGAGGAATTTTGCAAAAGTGGAGGTTTCAAAAGGGTTGCCCAAACAGAGAAAAGGCAAGTAAGGCGTAGACTTGAGAGAAGAGAGCCCAACTTCTGAGACAGCTCCAAGGCAACAGGGAGGCAGTGTACGTCTGTTTCAGAAAGGCAGGAGCTGAAAGGAGAAGCCCAGGTAGGCACTGCCTGTGATACCTGTTTGGCCCACTAGGTAGGCCAGGTGTCTTGAAAGAATGACCCAATGGCATGCTGACATTGATGAGTCTGAATGCTTGATTATTTCCTCTCAAAGTCAGTGGGACTAATCAGGAAAACCCATTTTATTATTTGCATAATCCTTTACGTAAAAAAAAATACTTGTCTAACTCACTCTAAAATAACAAGCATTAGGTATTGATGGGACGTATCTCAAAATAATAAGAGCTAACTATGACAAACCCACAGCCAATATCATACTGAATGGGCAAAAACTGGAAGCATTCCCTTTGAAAACTGGCACAAGACAAGGATGCCCTCTCTCACCACTCCTATTCAACATACTGTTGGAAGCTCTGGCCAGGGCAATGGCAGGAGAAGAAAATAAAGGGTATTCAATTAGGAAAAGAGGAAGTCAAATTGTCCCTGTTTGCAGATGACATGGTAGTATATCTAGAAAACCCCATCGTCTCAGCCCAAAATCGCCTTAAGCTGATACACAACTTCAGCAAAGTCTCAGGATACAAAATCAATGTGCAAAAATCACAAGCATTCTTATACACCAATAACAGACAAACAGCCAAATCATGAGTGAACTCCCATTCAAAATTGCTTCAAACAGAATAAAATACCTAGGAATCCAACTTACAAGGGATGTGAAGGACCTCTTCAAGGAGAACTACAAACCACTGCTCAATGAAATAAGAGGACACAAACAAATGGAAGAACATTCCATGCTCATGGATAGGAAGAATCAATATCGTGAAAATGGCCATACTGCCCAAGGTAATTTATAGATTCAATGCCATCCCCATCAAGCTACCAATGACTTTCTTCATAGAATTGGAAAAAACTACTTGAAAGTTCATATGGAACCACAAAAGAGCCCGCATTGCCAAGTCAATCCTAAGCCAAAAGAACAAAGCTGGAGGCATCACGCTACCTGACTTCAAACTATACTACAAGGCCACAGTAACCAAAACAGCATGATACTGGTACCAAAACAGAGATATAGACCAAGGGAATACAACAGAGCCCTCAGAAATAATACCACACATCTACAACCATCTGATCTTTGACAAACCTGACAAAAACAAGAAATGGGGAAATGACTCCCTATGTAATAAATGGTGCTGGGAAAACTGGCCAGCCATATGTAGAAAGCTGAAACTGGATCCCTTCCTTACACCTTATACTAAAATTAATTCAAGATGTATTAAAGACTTAAATGTTAGACCTAAAACCATAAAAACCCTAGAAGAAAACCTAGGCAATACCATTCAGGACATAGGCATAGGCAAGGACTTCATGTCTAAAACACCAAAAGCAATGGCAACAAAAGCCAAAATTGACAAATGGGATCTAATTAAACTAAAGAGCTTCAGCACAGCAAAAGAAACTACCATCAGAGTGAACAGGCAACCTACAAAATGGGAGAAAATTTTTGCAATCTACTCATCTGACAAAGGGCTAATATCCAGAATCTACAATGAACTCAAACAAATTTACAAGAAAAAAACAAACAACCCCATCAAAAAGTGGGTGAAGGATATGAACAGGCACTTCTCAAAAGAAGATATTTATGCAGGCAAAAGACACATGAAAAAATGCTCATCATCACTGGCCATCAGAGAAATGCAAATCAAAACCACAATGAGATACCATCTCACACCAGTTAGAATGGCGATCATTAAAAAGTCGGGAAACAACAGGTGCTGGAGAGGATGTGGAGAAACAGGAACACTTTTACACTGTTGGTGGGACTGTAAACTAGTTCAACCATTGTGGAAGTCAGTGTGGTTATTCCTCAGGGATCTAGAACTAGAAATACCATTTGACCCAGCCATCCCATTGCTGGGTATATGCCCAAAGGATTATAAATCATGCTGCTTTAAAGACACATGCACACATATGTTTACTGCGGCACTATTCACAATAGCAAAGACTTAGAACCAACCCAAATGTCCAACAATGATAAACTAGATTAAGAAAATGTGGGACATATACACCATGGCATACTATGCAGCCATAAAAAAGGATGAGTTCATGTCCTTTGTAGGGACGTGGATGAAGCTGGAAACCATCATTCTCAGCAAACTATCACAAGGACAAAAAACCAAACACTGCATGTTCTCACTCATAGGTAGGAATTGAACAATGAGAACACACATGGACACAGGAAGGGGAACATCACACACCGGGACCTGTTGTAGGGTGGGGTGAGGAGGGGAGAGATAGCATTTGGAGATATACCTAATGTTAAATGACGAGTTACTGGGTGCAGCACACCAACATGGCACATGTATACATATGTAACAAACCTGCACGTTGTGCACATGTACCCTAAAACTTAAAGTATAAAAAGATAAATAAATAAAATAAAATGACAAGCATTTAGCTTTTCAACTCTAAACTAGTAATCATCAGATATTCTATCCAACTTTCAAGGATCATGGTTATTTCTCAGCAGAAAGACAAAATTAGTCAATGTTACTCAGATCTGCAATAAATGATATTTAGTGACACTACATATAAGAAGGGCATGGTGATTCCACTTCCATCTTAGCATGCAATCCACATGTACACACAAATACACTCAATTTTTTTTTAACTCTAACCCATTAATATCTGAACTCTTAAAATGTTATCCATCACTTATAGCCAAGGGGATGTGATAAGTAAAACACTCCAGAAAAGATTGCCATCCATCACTGTCCTTTATCTTTTTTCACCCCATTGGTGAAAAAAATAAAATTCTAGTTCTCCTCAATAAAAAAAATGAATCACGTTTCAAGTACTTCTGCAATAAGTCTTTCAACAATTTTATTTAAGATTGCTACAAATTTTTAGAGCTATTATGAATTGTAATATGTGTTGGGATTGGCTCACCAAAAGTAATGGTTAAGAGAAAAATAAACAATAGTCTCACGATAATCTACTGCTTTTAGCAATTCATAGCATACATTCTAAAAAATGGGCTTCATGCCAGATGACATCCTCACCTGATTTGCCCCATATTGGGCTTCTATACCTTAGTGCTAATTATCATGCAGGAGATACTTGGTCCAGGTACCCACACAAAGAACCTAGAATGATTTTAACCGGGAACTTTTTAAATATAATTAAAGGCTTTGTTGAGAAGAGCAATCTATCATTCTCTAATGATAATTGCAAGGCTAATTATATGCACTTTACATAAAGTGACCTAAAAGGATTTAGAATAGATTCAAAGATCAGATTGGAGCTCATCACCACTCAGGGAGCATTGCTAGGGTAATTGTCTCTATATCAATCTAACTTGTATGTTTCTCATTATTCTTGCCCCAAGTGAGCTATGCTCTTCATTGAGATGCCAGTTTCTTATGTTGGGGCCTCTATTACTACATCGAAGCCTGTCCTTATGCACTTGCTTAGTGTACAATCCGTGATTATTGAGTAGGTAATACCAAGAATGCCTGTGTAGTGCTGGAGCAGTTCCTCTTCACTGAGCTCCCTCTGCTCAGGCACTTGCCGTGGAGATCAGCATCCTGGTACTCTGATGGCTTCAACAGCATTGTGTGCCCTAAGAATGAAATTGAAAGGAAAAGCATCCTGCTTAAGGGCCTCATTGAAAATCGATCTCCTCACTAAACCATCAAACATGCCCTTCATGAACATGCTGTAAGAGTAACCTTTGTCCAGTGTGATAAAGACTCATGTGTAATTAATCCTGAGGCTGCATTTGCTACCAGCTGAACACAGAAGTCATTGTCCAAAAGAATTATGTTTCATGCTTGCTAGTTCTGAGCAAAGAAAATAAACTTAAAATGTGGCTCAAGATTTTATGTCATGTATGTGTGTATAGCACCAACTATTAAAGAGAAAAGGAATTCATTCATTTAGCTTTTCTGTGGGGGTGACGGGAAAATGTCTGTAATCAACACTCTCTATATAAAGTTAATAATTAAACTTATTCAAATTCCCCCAGAAAAGTCCAAATTCATTTAATTCAAATAATACATGTAATATTATGAGCCAAATCTTGTCTTTCTTTCATTTACTGTGATTTCTGCCAATATTCTCCCTATTAGATTCAACAGTGATAGGTTTTATATCAAATTGTGAGGCTGATAACAGACCACACATAAAAAAAATCGGTCTTATGATTTTAAATTCATACCTTATTGCAGTGAATTATTCTCAGCTGCTTGAGAGTTATTAGTTTTATGGATATAAGTGTAATATTAATAATTGTAGTTACGATCACCAGCATAGAGAAAATTGGCTTTTGTACTAACATTATAAATATCATGGATTCAAAAAAAGATGTTTGGAGTGCCTGCTATGTGCTAGGGAGCATGCTTGGTGCTGAAAAAACAAATAAATACAGCATAATCCCTTATCTCAAATTGCTCACCAACTAGTTATGAAAACTGAAAAATAGGCCAGGCGCTGTGGCTCACTCCTGTGATCCCAGCACTTTGGGAGGCTGAGGTAGGTGGATCAATTAAGGTCAGGAGTTTGAGACCAGCCTGGCCAACATGGTGAAACCCCATCTCTACAAAAACTACAAAAATTAGGCTGGCACGGTGCCACATGCCTGTGATCTCAGCTACTCGGGAGGCTGAGGCATGAGAATCTCTTGAACCCAGGAGGCAGAGGTTGCAGTGAGCCAAGATCACACCACTGCCTTCCAGCCTGGGTGACAGAGCAAGACTCTGTCTCAAAAAAAAGAAAAAAAGAAAAGAAAACCAAAAAATAAGCAGCAACTAAAAACACATGATAGGTAGATCATTGGTCAGTAACGCATTTGGCTGCATTTTCTGTTAAGAAACCCCAATTAACTGTGGGTTCAGAATAGAGGAAGTGATTTGCCTCATTTAACAAGAAAGCTGGGGTAAGTCAGGCCAGGGACTGATTCATGTCCTAATCATGGCATTAAGGTCTTCTCACCTTTTAATCCATCATCTTTTAGGATATGGCTTTCATCTTCTTGGTCACAAAATGGCATAACTAGAACTATACATCCTATTCACACTCTAGGGGAAAAAGGAGCAAGAGATGAAGGCAAAGAGAAGCATAGCAGTCAAACATCTCCCTTCAAAAAGTTTTCCCAGAAGCTCTGTCTAGAAATTTCTACATTTCAATGGCCAGAAATGGGTCAGTCACTCCTACCAAGAAGGTAGCGGAGAGAAGTATTTTAGTTGTGCCTCAATATGTTCTACTAATAAATGAGGAAGAAGCGGAGAAATACAACTGGGTTGACAACTAGCAGCATCTGCCACAGGAATAAGGGGAACTCCAAAGGATTACAGGGCATAGATCAAAGAAGGTTCTCCAAAGGAGAGGACAATTAAGACTAGCACTGAAATGCTACCAAAAGCAAGTGAGGTGGGCAGACTGAGAGGAAGTATCGGGGAAGGAGACAGGAAGCGCATTCCAAACAAAGGAAATGAAGGTGCTCCTAGCACTGCAAGTAGTTCAGTGTGTTTGAAACACAGGGTTTTGAGTAGCAGAGAGGACAAGGTGAGACTGAGATACCAGAAAACACTAGAAAAAGCTACAGATGTGAAACGTTTTACAGTCTTGTTAGCTGTGCCATACTAAGTAGTTTTGGCTTCACAGTAAAGTTAAAAAGGTGTCACTACGTCATGAATAAGCCTTGCAGTTGGTGTCACAATCTTGCCTCCTGTCTCCCTGTGGAGGAGTCTCTGGTGAAATAACATTCCTTATCTTTCTCTCCATTCCCTACTCTCTCCTTCAAGAAAGGAGAAAGGGGTCTCATAGATCAGTTTGGGAGAAGACACTGGACACCCAGCCCAGCCCAGCCACCCCGTCCTTCTCTCCTTTAGAGGGTTAGTCTGCTCCTTGATGTGGCAATCTTGCAGGGGCAAATTCTGCCTTTGTGAAGGAGGCCTGAGGTTGTTCAGTACTGCCTGTGACTCATTATGTGAATCTAATTTTGATTTAGGTCAAGAATGCTAACAGTGTTAGGAAGTTCACTGTAGCCTCACATCCAAGCCAACTTCTCCAGTTCAGCTTTACTAGTAATAGTGCTGGTATTTCACTTTTTTTCTGTCTGATGCCTTGCAATGTTGGTTCTGAACTTGGTCCTCTAAACCCACAACAGTTGGTGATTTTCTGTCTCCTGCCACAGTGTCTCTTAGTCATTCTATCTCACCCCTTTACCTTGTCCTCAGCCATAGAGTTTTTTCTTTTCCCACTCTGTGAGTATACAGGTACAGGGAGATCTGAAACCCTTCCAGACTGGTGGATGAGCTCTGCCTGATGGTTATGCGGCAGGCACTCCTCTCAAAAGCATTTCATATGCCTACTTGTTATCTTTTCATTAGAAATAAATTTAGTTAGGAACTCTGTGCCTGGCACTCTCATCCTGCATAATTTTGGCCAGAACACTCTACTGTTTCAAAAACAAAGCTCTGCCTTAATTGACTCTGGCAAAATATTTGAAAATAAAATCCAAAAATCAGGGGAAGTACAGTACTAACACAGATGATACCCAGATTGACACATTTGCCTGGCTAACAAACTTGTGTCAAGAAGTGAAAATAGAAATTCAAGTCATATGATCCTTACCTGGGCATGTTCACTGGATTTATGTGGAAAGTTCATTAATATATTCCCTAGCCTCTCTTGATTGGAAAACACAGGGTACAGCTGTACAAACTGCTCTAACAGCTTCCAAGAATATAAGCAGAGAATGGTGATATCGAATAGCAGCAGAGAATTGCTGCTCAGAGATAGGAAACTTGCAAATGCTGGGTGTGAGGTGGAAAATGCAGAATGAGTCACATAGAAGTAAATGCTGAAGAATAAAGACAGAGGTTGGGAGAAACCTATTTCACCCCAGGGATGGAAAACAAATAGAACAACCTTTGGATCTCACTCTATGCATAAATACAAAACACATAGGTATTTTTTTGGAAAAAAAATCCCACCAATGAATCATAATTCAACTATAAATCATTTCTAAAACATTAAATTTACAAGAGTTTCTAATTGGCATGATAAATCAGTCACATATCAACTACAACTCTGGTATTTCCCATCTTTTCCTTTGTCATGTCATTCAGGCATTGCATTGTCATGATTGACAACTTCTTAAAAGAAATATATTTTTATCTTCTCTAGTTCTTCTAGAAGACAGGATACATGAGCAAAAGGTGCTAGAAAATGGAAAAGAATACAAAATCATTTCTATTGAATTTGCTACACCACTTGCCTATTCATATGGATAATTGGTAATTGTTCTTAACAAGCAAGAGACAACACTTGGCCTTGTGCCCAGGATCAGTCCTAGTAAACATGTTGACCAGAAAACCTTTTATACCCTGGGCCTTTTCCTCTCTGATTATCCTCTTCTTCCCTTTGGTAATGTAGTTGTCTCATTCTTTTGCCTTCCTCCCTGTTCACAATACCCACAAAGCTGGATTTTAAATACATCTGGTGCATAAGTAATCTGTATCAGAAAGAATTTAATCACTACTTGGAAGTATTGATATTGGTTAATACTGGCACCAGAAAGCCTATATTTAAATCCCAGTTTTACCATGCCTCAATGTGTGACTCAGAGCATGTTAGTTAACTCATCTAGGCTTCAGGTTACTTACCTGAAATGGGGATCACACCTACTGCAGAGGTTTTTCCATGAGGATTAATGAAGTAATTAAAAATAGCTTTGAAGTTGGGCCTGGTGGCTTACACCTGTTATCCTAGCACTTTGGGAGGCTGGGATGGGCTGAGATGGGAGGATTACTTGAGCCTAGTAGTTTAAGAACAGCCTAGGCAACATAGCAAGACCCTGTCTCTACCAAGAAAAAAAAAAAAGCTGGGTATAGTGACTCATGCCTTTAATCCCAGCTACTCTGGAGGCTGAGGTGGGAGGGTTGTTTGAGCCCAGGAGGATCAAGGCTGCAGTGAGCCATGATCATGCCACTGCACTCCAGCCTGGGTAACAGAGCAAGACCTTGTCTCAAAAAAAAAAAAAAAAAAAAAAAAAAAAAAACCCTTGCATAATCCTAATAAATAATAGCAATAAGATTATGGTGCCTGTTCCAATGGTATTTGCATTGTAATCTTATTTCAAAATCAAATGAAGGAAAGATTAGGCAAAAAATTACTTGGGGGCGGGGGGGCGAGTATGTTGCTTAAATATAAAGCTAAACCAAAACTTGGTTGCAGTCTATGCTGCTTAAATGTTAAAGCTAAGCCAAAAGTTCAAGTAAGACCTATGCCAAATAAATTTTTTGGAGTTTGTGATGAGTGTGGCTAGAAAGGAAGATTTCCTAAAGACATGTGGCACCATTTAGGTCTCAGCAATAGTTCATGGCTTGACTTGTTGTTGGGTGTCCAAGTATGTCTTTAGACTACCCACAAAAATCAAGGTTACAAAGCAAACACCCCAAACACCACATTTCAGTTGTATCTAAACTCATTAGGTCAGTGTGATAGACTTTCATAATGCAAAAAAGAAAAAGAAAAGAGAAAAAATTACAAAGCTAGGTGGGAAGAAATGTAAGAAAATGATATATTGATCATTCTTCCAAACAGAATAGGTCACTGCCATAAAATAATTAAAGAAATACAGTCTATTACTACCACTGCTTTGCACAGAGTAGATGTTCAGTAAATATAGAAAGGAGTCCATTCTGTCTATTGCCTTAAATGTTGGAAAGGGAAGGTAGAGACATTTGAAAGGGTTCTTCCAAAAGTCTTGTTGTTTAAGAAAAATTTACAACACTGCAATAAACAAAAATTGCAGGGAATTTTTTTATTAGTAGAATATCACGAACATTGGTTTTTGATGCCAAAAAATAAAGATATTTAGGCTCTGCAGAAACAGCAAACTTTGCCTGTGGCAAATTCATAAAATTTCATAATTTCACCAGAGGCAAAAGTGTCAGTTTTCCGCATAGGAGCTAGATTCCCAGTTGGAAATGTGAAATTTTAGATCAGAAAGAAATCTGGGTATGTTTTGCAAAACTTAAAACTCATTCTCTTATTTAGATTCTGGGTGAAGCCAAGCCATGCCAAAGTGGGGAAAGTAGCAGTGAAGGAGGAACAGATGAGTTCAGGAATCAGAAGGAGAGAAGGTACAGGGTGGAAGTACTGGGCACATGAGATCCTAACAAAGATCAAAAAGAAAGGATGTGACAATGGATGTGCTGTAAATTCATAGAATTAAGAGGCCTGGAATTTTGTTTAAATACCAGGTTCAGAGTATCAAATCTCCCGACAAATACCCTAAGACCAAGATTTCTTTTTATGGGCTCTATTTCTGTCCACATTGAATTTCCTCTCTATGTTCCTGCCTCTGGTATTTTCCTTTGATGACAACTGTACCAGGTTTTATTATACAGTTTCAAGGAGAAAGGATTTTGCTTTTATATTTGCACTGAAATTTCAAGATGTAATTTCCTAAAACAGGCTTTGGAGAAGAGCATAAAAATAAAACTAAGATGTTTCACAAACACCTGATCCTTTTTGAAAGGATTCCAAAGCCTCATAAATCTTCAGCTTTGTTTTGTGGGTTCTCACCTACAGAATTTTCAATCACACATTATATATATACATGACGAAACTGAACTTGGGAAGAATTGTACAATGGGGAAATTTAAATATATGGTTTTAATCTCATTAATAAAGTACTGCTATTAGAGGTGGGCTGGAGACCATGAATAATGCACTAAAAACTGTTCTTCACTAAATAAGATGTGCCTTCCACTATCCCTGAAGACCCTTTGTAGATTCATTCATTTTCTAACTCAGCCTATATTGTATCTCTTATTCTTCAGATAGAGGAAGGGATGCAAAGGAATTTAAACATCAGAAGGTTCACAGGTTTGAGTACGTGTAACCTTTCCAGGAAACTGATCCAAATAAGAACTCACACTAAATACAGCTTTTCTTGTCATTCAGAATTGAACTACCTCGGATAAAAAGGAGACAAGGCTCATAAAACACATTCAATTTACCTCCACCATGCCACACAAACTACTTGTCCTAGACCAAGATGAAGCAATTCCATGTGGCCCTTGGTATTTGTCATATCGATATCTTTGTACGAATACTGGAGGCCACTCATGTAGAGTTATTGAATCAGAAAACAGTCACCGAGAAGTCACAGCTGAAGAAGATGCCATCCTATCTCACAGCTTATTAAGAGTTAGAAAAATACCCGACTATTTGGAATTAATCATTCAACAAACATTGATGGTACAGGTGCCATTTTCCACACCCCGAGCTAGAGAGATGAAAAGAAATGAGAACTTAAGGATATCAAGCTCTGCTCCAGTTTGTCAAGAATTGTATTTAAGATTCCTCATAGTGAAGAACTCAGGTTATTTCTCCTTTAGGAGGAGCTTTAATGAGGAGAGTTGACTGCGGAGTTTAAGATGAGAACTTTTCACACACATACATGACAGGTGGTGAACTAAAAGGGAGACCCCAAATTACTTGTGCTGCTTAACATTCAGAGAAACACAGCATGCGACAAAACAGTGAGTCTGGTGGCTAGAGAGGGCTGCCGTGTGGAGGATATTGTCAGAAATGACTTTTTCAAGGGAGGTTATGCACAGTTACCTTAGTAAGTCACTGAAGGAATTGAGTAAAAGAGAGTAAGATAATGAAAAGTACCAGTGACAGATCGACGGAAAACAGGAAACCACAGAGAACTGACAATGAGCAAAGAAAAAGAGAGGCTCCTGCAGAACAAGGTTCAGTTGATATTAATTCAGCTCTCAATCCACCTAATGAGTTAACCTAAGTGTCTCTTCAAGTTTTATTGTGCATCCAAATCACCTGGAGAATCCTGTTAAAATGTAGACTCCAATTCAGAAAGTTTGGAGAGAGGCTAGCAGTTTTGCCTGAGGTGATACTGATGCTGTTCATCTGTGGACAACACATTGCGTATGAAAGTACCTAGCACTGAAGTTCATTAGATCAGTGAAACCATCACAAACCAATAGCAGAGCCTCTGGAAGGCAGTTACCGCAATGGAGGAGCCCGTTCTCTGGAGTATCTCTAAATCTGGTTCACTTGCTGTCCAAATGACTTGGTTCTCTTCTTGCAGAGCATATAATTCAAACGGTGTGACAAAGATGGCCCCCAAGTTTTCATGTGAGGGATCTGCCCAATTTCTGACTTTACAGTCTAGGAGAAATTATACCATTTTCTGAGCCAGTGCTCTCTAAAATTTTAATAATTATAATCCTCAGTAGGGCTATTTTGAAAATCAAAATTGAACAATATAAGAATATAGTAAGACAACAAATATCAGTTTTTCTTCCTTCTTTCCTATACTAAACAATAAGTATAATTAACATTGATACAGCTGACAATAAATAAAACACTTTCAAAGAAACTTTTATTTTGTCCTTTCAAAATCCATAAGCAAGATCCATGTCAACACACTCGAAAGATGAAAAAACAAGGTTGGAGAGATGTTAGTGCAGTAATAAGGTCCCTACAGTTTGGATAGAGCATACTTCAACTCAGATTCTCAATCTATTCTTTATAGAAAGTTTATCATGTATAAAGAGAGTCATACCACCACTAAATAATATATGTAAAATGTCTAGCAGAACTTCCTGTCATAGTGTTTTCTCTGCTCCTTCCCAAAATGAAACTATAATAATGAAAAATAAATTTGTGAAGTCATCCTTTTCGTTTCCTAGGGCTACTATAAAAAAGTACCACAAACTGGGTGGCTTAAACAACAGCAATGCATTGTCTCACAGTTCTGGAAACAGAAGTCCAAAATTAAGGTATTGACAGGGTTGGTTCCTTCTGAGGGCTGGAAGGGCAGGATCAGTTCCAGGCCTCCTTCCTTGGCATGGTCCTCTCCTTATGCGTGTCTGTGTGTCCAAACTTCTCCTTCATGTGAGGACACCAATCACATTGGATTAGGACCCACCCTAGTGGCCTCATTTTAACTTGATTACCTCTGTAAAGATTCTGTCTTCAAATAAGGTCAGTCCTAACCCAGTACCTCAGAAGGTACTGGGTTGGGACTTCAACATATAAATTGGGAGTTGGGGGGTTGAAGTGAAATTCAACCCATAGTATTAATAAACCCACAAAGACAAAAAAAGGAAAATTGGAAACAAAACAGTTTTGGAAGATGAAAAATAGAAAAAATAGAATACCTAAGAAATCTGAATGTCAGATGCACACCGGAGGAATGCAAACAACAAACAGAGTATTTCATAACAACCAACACCAGAAAGCTTGAGAAATGGTAGCAACTTATTCTCCCCAAAAGGAAAGAAAAGCAAGGAGCTGAAAGCAAGATGTTTATTTTGAAAATATATATAAGGAAAACTCATATACCCAGGCATCCTCCCTGTCCACAAATGGGACTTATTTGGTAGAGAAATTGAACCCTGGATATTCCAAACACAGGGAGGATTGGGGTGGGGAAGGCACCCTCCTGGAAACAGGCAGATTGAGTTAATATTGGCACACTAAATGACAAGCCCCCTACCGCTCTTCTACACTCTGCCTGAGGAATGCAGGCAGACAGGCAACTACTGCCTTGGTAAGTGATTGGTAAATTGTTTGCTGGAATAATTGAATAGTTCCGGGGGGTGAGGAAGACTAACAGATATTGACATGTAGGGTTCCCTGCCAGGAAACTTCTGGATCCCTACTCATTAGGCCTTCAGTAAAGACTGCAAGTTGTCCAGCTTCAACCATGCATATAGAATTTGCAACTACATTTTTAATTCATTATTCTTTCCTAAACTATTTGCATTTTAAAATATAACATGCATACAGAACAGTGCCTAAGACAAATGAAATGTATTCAGTGAAATATCACATAGTAAACACCTATGTAGACATCAATTGATACCTATTATGTATTGTTTCAGGCATTTCTTGCTCAACATTAGTGAGAGGTATCCATGTTGTGATAGGTAATTATAGTCCATTCCTTTTCATTATTGTATAACATTCCCTTATAAGAACAAATTTTTATTCTAATGTTGATGGACATCTCACTTGCTTCCATTTTCTATGTATTACGATTATTGTTGCTTTGGGGGTTGTTGTATGTGTCTCTTCAGGCCCATGTGCAAAGCATCTCTGTTAGGTTTTTACGTAAAAGTGGAGGTACCAGGTCAAAGGTTATGCATATCTTCAACTTTATGTGCAAGCTCATTCTTCCTAGTGATGTTGTACCGATTTGGTCTCCCCAAAATGATCCTAGATAATTCCTGTTTCTCCATATCATCACCAACACTGGGTATTTACACTCTTTTTAAATTTAGAGTGGCTTACTCTTAAATAAAGGAGTGGCTTACTCTTAAATAAATTTCAACAGCTATTTCAGGAAAGTCTCTAGTGTGAAAGACAAAAAACAAGAGAAACACAAGAATGAAGATTGTAATTTGTATGAAAAATAAAACAGGTAAGCTTTTAAAAGTATTTTAACAGCCTTGAAGAAATGAAAAGCTACTGAGTCCATAAAGAAAGAATGCTTTTAAAAAATTGAATAGAGAAAAAGAAAATACTAAAATTCATTGGAAGGATCAAAAGATAACATTAAGGATTTCTTACAAAAGGAGAAAAATAGAAGAAAGTTAAGGAAACTCAAGAAAACGAAAGAAAAAATCCAGAGTCCAACTACTAAGTTATAAAAGTTTTAGGAAGAAAACAAAACACAACAGAAAACAGATGGAAGGACATGATGAAAGGACAAATACAGGTAAAATTCCTGAACTAAAGAATGTGAATTTCCAAATTTAAGGTACCCAACAAGTGCCCGACCCAATGAATTGACACAAAACAAAACAAAAATCACACCAAGTCACATTATTACTAAATTTCAGCACACCAGGAGGAAAAAGAAGATTCAGTAAATAAATCACAAGCCACCTACAAAAGAAGTGGAATAAAAATATCAGGAGAGCTCCACAAGGGCAACACAGCAGTAAGGAAACAATGGAAAAAAACACTTCAAAATTGGTAGACGAGACAGCCAGGTAACCAAGCAAAAATGAAGAGAGAAAACAAGAAGATCACTATGAAAAGCACACATGGTTTCATCTCACTAACACACTGAGGTAAAAGTATATGCATGATGTGTGAATTGAAGAGGAAAAGACAGTTATTAAAAATGTAATAAAATTTTCAAAAACATTCTGAGAATCATTATTTCCAACAAGATTCTCTACCTGGCCAAGAAATTAATCATTGTGAGGTTAGAATAAAGACATTCTCAACTGGTCAACACCTTAAAAACATTGGCCAGCGCGGTGGCTCACGCCTGTATTCCCAGCACTTTGGGAGGCCAAGGCAGGTAATCACGAGGTCAGGAGATTGAGACCATCCTGGCAGCATGGTGAAACCCAGTCTCCACTAAAATACAAACAAATTAGCTGGGCATGGTGGCATGCACCTGTAGTCCTAGCCACTCGGGAGGCTGAGGCAGGGAAATTGCTTGAACCCGGGATACAGAGGGTGCAGTGAGCTGAGATAGCACCACTGAACTCCAGCCTGGTGACAGAGCAAGACTCCGTGTCAAAAAAAAAAAAAAAATTATCCCATGTTTAGGTTTTCAAGAAGTTACACTAGGATATGCTTAACCTTATTAGAAAACAGAGAGAAATAGGTGGAGGTCCTAAAGAACACTTGTGTAGCAGGCCAAGAGAACAACCAGGCCGGGGTTAAAGAGAAGGACTGAGAGTTCCTCAAGTATGGCCCCAAGAAAAACAACCTGATGAGTTAGCTGGTTTATTTGATCTTTTAGAAAACATAATTCCATAGCTTGTGAAAAATAAATGATAGTTGTATACATACAAAACTAAGCACATCAAGGAAAGAGAGACGCACACAGGAGGAAGAGAGATAACACAGCTTCAGGCAATGGGAAAATTGTTTGAAAAGTAGGAGTAGTCATAGCACACCATTTGAGCAGGGGATTATCTGTGTATGGTAATAATATTAATATAGCTATGTTTAAATATATCCAAATTGGTTAAAAGGGAAGTGTGGAGTAAAAAAATCAAGGCAGAAAAGCAGACCTGACCAAAGAAAGTCAATAATGGATAAAACATCTAAAAATACTGAACAATATTTAGATATACAGAAATAAAAGCCTGAACAAACAACTTAAAAAGTAGAAAGTAGTTGCCTCTAAGGAGTGGAATTAAGTATGGTGGGATGGGGCAAGACACTTTGTCGTTGCTGTTGTTTTTGGTGTTATACACTTTATAGCACTTTGGCTTTTTAAACTATGTATTATCTCTGATGATATGATCTTCTACCTAGACAATCCTAAAGACTCCTCAATTTGATAAATGAATTCACTGAAGTTGCAGGATACAAAATCAACATACAAAAATCAGTATCAGTGCTATACACCCATAGCAATCAAGCTGAGAACCAAATCAATAAGTTAATCACATTTACAATAACTACAAAATAAAATAACATACTCAGGCATACACTTAACCAAGGAGGTGAAAGCTCTCTACAAGGAAAACTATAAAGGACTGATGAAAGAAGTTGCAGATGACACAAAAAATGGAAAAACAACCCAAGCTCATAGATTAGAAGAATCAATATTGCTAAAATGATACCATACTACACAAAGCAATTTATGGATTCAATGCAATTCCTATCAAAATACCAAGATCATTTTTCCGTTTCTCACAAAATTAGAAAAAAATTTAAAATTTGTATGAAACAAAAAAGAACCTGTAGCTCACTCACAAAGCGATCGTAACCAAAAAGGACAAAGCTGGAGGCAACATATTATCTGACTTCAAATTCTGTTACAAGGCTATAGTAACCAAAACAGCATGGTAATGGGCTCTTAACCTCCAAAGATAACTAAGTTATCTTTGCCCCTTTGTTCCCAAGACAGAAAGAGAGGAAAGAAGAAGCACCCAGAATGCTGGTACCAAACGTTAAAGTAGGCTTTTCTCTCAAATCACCCACTAATAAAGACAGAGCACCATTTAGGAAATTAAACAGCCAGTTAAGCAGGTTGCATTAGCAAAAATAATGAGAATAAATTCAGTCCTTTCAGCTGCCAAGAGATTTTGACTGAAATTATTATTTAAAGGAATTTGCCAGTGTATAAGGTCCATGTGCTATGGCTTCTGCCAGAGCTGATCTCATCAGACAATTCCCTTTCCCCTACTTGTTGACTAGACTCCAGCCACATGGCCTCCTTCATGTTCCCCAAGTGTGCCAAGATGGTTCCCAGCTTACAGCCTTCACACTTGCTCTTCCATCTGCCTGCAAAACTCTTTCCTCAGATCTTCACAAAGCTCACTTATCTATCCAGTGGTCAGCTCGGATGCCACCTCTTCAAGTCAGACTTCCCTGATCTCTTTCATCACCTGGAGCAACCCACTCCAATATGTCTCTAGCACTGTACTCTATCTTCTTCAGAACACTTAGTTGTATTTCAACTCCGTCTCTCTGTTTAATGTGTCATTGTCTCTGTCCTCCACTAGAATATAAGGTCCATAATTGTGTCCATGCTGTTCACTGATGAATCACCAGAGCCTGGCATAGAGTAAGTGGTAAATGAGTATTGGAGGGGGAAAGGGAAGAAGGGAAAGAAGGAGGTCCACCCTCTTTACCATTTCTCAAGATGGAACACAGCTAGGTTATATCTGAGTTCTTCTGAGGGCATTGCCAATGTCAACACAAGCCCATTCCGAACCTGCCCTGACATCACGGTGATTAGAAGTAGGATTTAAAGCTGCAAAAACACCCCATGTAGGAAAAGGAGGCTCAAGCACCAATTAGCAACAGAGAAGCAAATGAAAATGGTACTCATTATGTATAGGTACTGAGCACAAAGATATTTAGAGAAGAAACATGTGTCATGTCCTCTAAAACAAATCAAGAGAACTCAAAGTAGAAAAATAGTAGTTAGAAACAAGCGACCATTTGGAAACCAGCATTTCTAAGTCAGCTATTTGATGCCAGTGTCCAGGAATACAGCTGATCTCTATTTTAAGAAGTGGAGCTGTCAGTGAAGCAATCCAGAATGATAATTTAATAATAGCACTTTGGAAGACAGGCGCTAAAAAATTACAAATTTCTCTGAAGAATTCCAAGGCTTAATTTATATGAGGCACCTTAAAAGGACTAAGTCCAATCTGGAAAAACCTACACTAACTCCTTCCAAAACTAAAGCTAGTTTTTCTAAGTGATGAAGTTAATTCATTTCAGCCTAGCCCAGAATACTCCAGTGGAGACAGCAAAAATCCTTTAAACTTATTCCATAACATTAAATGACAGTGAAACTTCTGGATAATTTGTTAAAGTTCAGGGTAGGAAAAGACCCTGCCTGTCCCTCACCTCCTGTGAGAGGCAGAGGATCCTCTGGCTTCTTGTCTCCGTGACTCAGCTGTATTCCCTCTGATGCAAACAGGGCCACCCTAGGCTAACAGCTTTTTTGAGGGTCATAAATGAACTGCTTTCTCTTCTAGGGAACTGGAAGAACAGAATAAAAGGTGGAGTAATTAAAAAAGCAGAGATGCCAATATCAGTTAAATCATCCCTCCAAAGTTAAGCTTAATGAATGTCAATTTTCTTTTCTGAATCCATTTTTATAGTGAACATGGCAGCATCAGGGAGACGCAGCCAATACAGTAGCACCCAATGGTCCCTGTTAGGGCTAAGTTGGCTTTATTTTCATTTCATGCTTTCGAGTCAATGACATATCCTTAGAGGTCATGAGCTTTCCCACTCTCTCACAGATGTTTTCTTAGTTAGGGATGTGGTTTTCACAGTGACATCCCCAAACCAGCAACAACAGCATCACAAAGAAGCATGTTAGAAATGTAAATGATGAGTTAATGGGTGCAGCACGCCAACATGGCACATGTATACATATGTAACAAACCTGCACGTTGTGCACATGTACCCTAGAACTTAAAGTATAATAATAATAATAATAAAAAGAAATGCACATTTTCAGGCCTCACCCCAGATCTGCAGAATCCAAAATTCTGAAAGTGGAATCAAACAATGAGTGCTTTATCAAGCTCTCCGGGTAATTCTGATGTCTCCTGAAGTCTGAAAATCTTTGAGTTAGGATAATGTTATCCACTTTAACAGATAAACCTGAAATTTTCAGTGACTTTACATAATAAACAATGACTTACCATTCACATAATAGCTCAGTATGATTCACACAGTGATTCGGGGAGCTAACTTGCTTTCATCTTGAGTCTGCTCCATCCATTATGGCCTCAGAGTTTGCTGCATTTTGATTGATGGGGGAAAACGAGTAGAGAATTCCTTTTCTCATCTCAAAATTCCTGGCTCGAAAATAAAACACAACACTTCCACCCATAGTTCATTGATGAGAACTAGTTAATGAGTCACATTTAGATACAAAGGAGACCAGAAAATATTGTCCCTGGCTGGGTGCATGACTCCCTGCCACAACACCATGCCATGGAGGAAGCAGCACAAACCTCTGCTATGAATGTGCAAACCGCATTCATGCAAACAGTGATGTAGCCAGGGCAGCAGGAGACAACCAACCCCTCACCCAGAGCATATTCTCCAGAACTGGCACATTTTCATAATCTTAAGATAGGGGTGCAATTGTTGCTAATACAGTGATGAAAGAGACAACAGTTTCTCAAATGCTAATGGACATACCCATCACCAGGGAATCTAGTTAAAATTTAGATTCTGTTTGTAGGTCCAGAGTGGGGCCTCACTTTCTGCAGGTCTAAACAGCTCTCAGGTGATTTCAATGCAATGGTCCATGGACTACACATTGAGAACTAGAATTTATAGAAGATAAGTTGAAAACAAGGGTCAGCATGTTCAATATGGGATGGTTATATATTAAAATCTAATGTCCTTACAACATTCTACACATGTGGCCATGCATGATCTAGCTCACTACCCTCCCTGCCACCATCCCCCAATTCCTCCCATTTCTTTTCCTTCTACTCTCCACACCTCACTGACTTCACTCCAGATATAGAAACCTGATTACCATACTTTGCACATGTCAGACACACTCCTTCCTCAGATTTGTTGTCCTAATATTGCCTCTGTTCAGAATGCTCTTAATCAAGATAGATACATAGCCAACTCCCCACCAACTCTTCGCTCAAATGTCACCTTCTAAAAGAAACCTACCCTGACCACTCAATATTTAACTGCAACTCATCTCCTTCTTCATGTACTCCCAGCCTTCCTTTCCCTGCTCAACATTTTCTCACATTCTCAGCATTATATATGCTAAGTGTCCAGAACACTGCCTGGTGTATACTAGATGCTCAACAAGTATTTGTAGAATGAGTACATCAGGGTTCAGATTATAAAACCAACCCAAGAATGCTTGTGATTTTTGTACATTGATTTTGTATCCTGAGACTTTGCTGAAGTTGCTTATCAGCTTAAGGAGATTTTGGTCTGAGACAATGGGGTTTTCTAGATATACAATCATGTCATCTGCAAACAGGGACAATTTGACTTCCTCTTTTCCTAATTGAGTACCCTTTATTTCCTTCTCCTGCCTAATTGCCGTGGCCAGAAATTCCAACACTATGTTGAATAGGAGTGGTGAGAGAGGGCATACCTGTCTTCTGCCAGTTTTCAAAGGGAATGCTTCCAGTTTTTGCCCATTCAGTATGATATTGGCTGTGGGTTTGTCATAGATAGCTCTTATTATTTTGAAATACGTCCCATCAATACCTAATTTATTGAGAGTTTTTAGCATGAAGGGTTGTTGAATTTTGTCAAAGGTCTTTTCTGCACCTATTCAGATGATCATGTGGTTTTTGTCTTTGGTTCTGTTTATATGCAGGATTACATTTATTGATTTGCATATATTGAACCAGCCTTGCATCCGAGGGATGAAGCCCACTTGATCATGGTGGATAAGCTTTTTGATGTGCTGCTGGATTCGGTTTGCCAGTATTTTATTGAGGATTTTTGCATCAATGTTCATCAAGGATATTGGTCTAAAATTCTCTTTTTTGGTTGTGTCTCTGCCTGGCTTTGGTATCAGGATGATGCTGGCCTCATAAAATTAGTTAGGGAGGATTCCCTCTTTTTCTATTGATTGGAATAGTTTCAGAAGGAATGGTACCAGTTCCTCCTTGTACCTCTGGTAGAATTCAGCTGTGAATCCATTGGGTCCTGGACTCTTTTTCATTGGTAAGCTATTGATTATTGCCACAATTTCAGCTCCTGTTATTGGTCTATTCAGAGATTCAACTTCTTCCTGGTTTAGTCTTGGGAGGGTGTATGTGTCTAGGAATTTATCCATTTCTTCTATATTTTCTAGTTTATTTGCGTAGAGGTGTTTGTAGTATTCTCTGATGGTAGTTTGTATTTCTGTGGGATCGGTGGTGATATCCCCTTTATCATTTTTTATTGCATCTATTTGATTCTTCTCTCTTTTTTTATTAGTCTTCCTAGCGGTCTATCAATTTTGTTGATCCTTTCAAAAAACCAGCTCCTAGATTCATTGATTTTTTGAAAGGTTTTTTGTGTCTCTATTTCCTTCAGTTCTGCTCTGATTTTAGTTATTTCTTGCCTTCTGCTAGCTTTTGAATGTGTTTGCTCTTGCTTTTCTAGTTCTTTTAATTGTGATCTTAGGGTGTCAATTTTAGATCTTTCCTGCTTTCTCTTGTGGGCATTTAGTGCTATAAATTTCCCTCTACACACTGCTTTGAATGTGTCCCAGAGATTCTGGTATGTTGTGTCTTTGTTCTCGTTGGTTTCAAAGAACATCTTTATTTCTGCCTTCATTTCGTTATGTACCCAGTAGTCATTCAGGAGCAGGTTGTTCAGTTTCCATGTAGTTGAGCGGTTTTGAGTGAGTTTCTTAATCCTGAGTTCTAGTTTGATTGCACTGTGGTCTGAGAGACAGTTTGTTATAATTTCTGTTCTTTTACATTTGCTGAGGAGTGCTTTACTTCCAAGTATGTGGTCAATTTTGGAATAGGTGTGGTGTGGTGCTGAAAAGAATGTATATTCTGTTGATTTGGGGTGGAGAGTTCTGTAGATGTCTATTAGGTCCACTTGGTGCAGAGCTGAGTTCAATTCCGGGGTATCCTTGTTGACTTTCTGTCTCGTTGATCTGTCTAATGTTGACAGTGGGGTGTTAAAGTCTCCCATTATTAATGTGTGGGAGTCTAAGTCTCTTTGTAGGTCACTCAGGACTTGCTTTATGAATCTGGGTGCTCCTGTATTGGGTGCATATATATTTAGGATAGTTAGCTCTTCTTGTTGAATTGATCCCTTTACCATTATGTAATGGCCTTCTTTGTCTCTTTTGATCTTTGTTGGTTTAAAGTCTGTTTTATCAGAGACTAGGATTGCAAGCCCTGCCTTTTTTTGTTTTCCATTTGCTTGGTAGATCTTCCTCCATCCTTTTATTTTGAGCCTATGTGTGTCTCTGCACATGAGATGGGTTTCCTGAATACAGCACACTGATGGGTCTTGACTCTTTATCCAATTTGCCAGTCTGTGTCTTTTAATTGGAGCATTTAGTCCATTTATATTTAAAGTTAGTATTGTTATGTGTGAATTTGAACCTGTCATTATGATGTTAGCTGGTTATTTTGCTCGTTAGTTGATGCAGTTTCTTCCTAGTCTCGATGGTCTTTACATTTTGGCATGATTTTGCATCGGCTGCTACCTGTTGTTCCTTTCCATGTTTAGTGCTTCCTTCAGGAGCTCTTTTAGGGCAGGCCTGGTGGTGACAAAATCTCTCAGCATTCTTATACACCAATAACAGACAAACAGAGAGCCAAATCATGAGTGAACTCCCATTCACAGTTGCTTCAAAGAGAATAAAATACCTAGGAATCCAACTTACAAGGGATGTGAAGGACCTCTTCAAGGAGAACTACGAACAACTGCTCAATGAAAATAAATAGTATACAAACAAATGGAAGAACATTCCATGTTCATGGATAGGAAGAATCAATATCGTGAAAATGGCCATACTGCCCAAGGCAATTTATAGATTCAATGCCATCCCCATCAAGCTACAAATGACTTTCTTCACAGAATTGGAAAAAACTACTTGAAAGTTCATATGGAACCAAAAAAGAGCCCGCATTGCCAAGTCAATCCTAAGCCAAAAGAACAAAGCTGGAGGCATCACGCTACCTGACTTCAAGCTATACTACAAGGCTACAGTAACCAAAACAGCATGGTACTGGTACCAAAACAGAGATATAGATCAATGGAACAGAACAGAGCCCTCAGAAATAATGTCACATATCTACAACTATCTGATCTTTGACAAATCTGAGAAAAACAAGCAATGGGGAAAGGATTCCCTATTTAATAAATGGTGCTGGGAAAACTGGCTACCCATATGTAGAAAGCTGAAACTGGATCCCTTCCTTACACCTTATAGAAAAATCAATTCAACATGGATTAAAGACTCAAATGTTAGACCTAAAACCATAAAAACCCTAGAAGAAAACCTAGGCATTACCATTCAGGACATAGGCACGGGCAAGGACTTCATGTCTAAAACACCAAAAGCACTGGCAACAAAAGCCAAAATTGACAAATGGGATCTAATTAAACTAAAGAGCTTCAGCACAGCAAAAGAAACTACCATCAGAGTGAACAGGCAACCCACAAAATGGGAGAAAATTTTCGCAACCTACTCATCTGACAAAGGGCTAATATCCAGAATCTACAATGAACTCAAACAAATTTACAAGAAAAAAACAAACAACCCCATCAAAAAGTGGGCGAAGGACATGAACAGACACTTCTCAAAAGAAGACGTTTATGCAGCCAAAAGACACATGAACAAATGCTCATCATCACTGGCCATCAGAGAAATGCAAATCAAAACCACAATGAGATACCATCTCACACCAGTTAGAATGGCGATCATTAAAAAGTCAGGAAACAACAGGTGCTGGAGAGGATGTGGAGAAATAGGAACACTTTTACACTGTTGGTGGGACTGTAAACTAGTTCAACCATTGTGGAAGTCAGTGTGGCGATTCCTCAGGGATCTAGAACTAGAAATACCATTTGACCCAGCCATCCCATTACTGGGTATATACCCAAAGGATTATAAATCATGCTGCTATAAAGACACATGCACACGTATGTTTATTGCGGCACTATTCACAATAGCAAAGACTTGGAACCAACCCAAATGTCCCACAATGATAGACTGGATTAAGAAAATGTGGCACATATACACCATGGGATATTATGTAGCCATAAAAAATGATGAGTTCATGTCCTTTGTAGGGACGCGGATGAAATTGGAAATCATCATTCTCAGTAAACTATCGCAAGAACAAAAAACCAAGCACCGCATATTCTCACTCATAGGTGGGAATTGAACAGTGGGAACACATGGATACAGGAGGGGGAACATCACACTGTGGGGACTTTTGTGGGGTGGGGGGAGGAGGGCGGGATAGCATTGGGAGATATACCTAATGCTAGATGACGAGTTAGTGGGTGCAGCGCACCAGCATGGCACATGTATACCTATGCAACTAACCTGCACATTGTGCACATGTACCCTAAAACTTAAAGTATAACAATAAAAAAAAGAAAAAAAAGAAAAAGTAAAAAATTAAAAAAAAAAAAAAAAACCAACCCAAAAAGTCACCAAAAGGTTATGC
The DNA here is from genome assembly GCF_000001405.40 of Homo sapiens. Lineage (NCBI taxonomy): Eukaryota > Metazoa > Chordata > Mammalia > Primates > Hominidae > Homo > Homo sapiens. The sequence goes on along the minus strand of NC_000014.9, from coordinate 62,284,425 downwards.
CTTTTCCAAGTCCCCATTTCTCTCAATGTTAAATGCCAGCTCTACCAAGAAGTGAGTGGAAAGAGAAGCGGGTAGAAAGGGATGGTTGTGTCTAATACTTGAAATAAAAATATACCTTGGAAGACCAAATGGATAGTGAGTCACTATTAAAGAGGACAGGCCAAGTCCTATACTTCAAGCTGATGTCCCAGGAACTCCTACCTGTTTATTTGAGCCCTTCCTTAGTCAGCTTAGGCTCCTACAGCAGAATACCGTAGACTGGGTGGCTTAAACATCATTTATTTTTCACATGGCAGAGAGCAGACAGTGAGCAAGTTTCTTAGTGTCTCTTCTTAAAAGGGCACTAATCCCACCCACGAGGGCGCCACATTCATGACGTAATTACCTTCCAAAGGCACCACCTCCTAACACCATCACATTTAGGTTAGAGCTTCATCATACAGATTTTGAGAGAATGACAAACATTCTGTTCATAACAATCTCCCTCAGTGTAAATTAACAGACTCCCCTTCCCTTGCCTCAGGCCACAGAGAAGATGGATGAAGGCTCTCTTGAAAATTTCTGACCCTGAGATCCTGTTACTTTTTTGGGACTTCTGAGAATTCCCTGAACTCTGAGCTTTGCCCCCAGACAGCATTTGGACTATATGTACACACCAGCCACAGGGACAAGGCAAAGTGGAATTCAGGGCTTTCCTGGAGAATAGCATGCAAACATGCAGAAAAGGACATGCCAGCCAGGCCAGCAGAAAAGGACAAAGACTAACAGAGTTACCAGGTCCTAAAGGAAAATCTTTAAGAGCTGTAGGAGATCCAGATTCCTTGACCAAAGCCAAAGTCACCTACAAGCAAGGATTCTATCAAATAGAGCAGGAGTCATGGGTACTCAAAGTCTAACCAGTGGGTGGGGCTAGGCAGGTATAAGAATAGTTTTAAAGTCCAGAACAACCTTCCAGACTGCTACACTGTTCACCCTAAAAGTACCACCTGAAATGTTACAGCACCCTTCTCACATACACACATACTCCCTACCCCAGTCAGGTAGTATGAGTACCAGTATTGTATACCTGTAAAAGATGACTTAGAGGCTGTTTTTCTTTGTTGTTGTTGTTGTTGTTGTTGTTGTTTTTGAGACGAAGTTTCGCTCTGTCGCCCAGGCTGGAGTGCAGTGGCGTGATCTCGGCTCACTGCAAGCTCCATCTCCCGGGTTCACGCCATTCTCCTGCCTCAGCCTCCCGAGTAGCTGGGACTACAGGCGCCCGCCACCATGCCTGGCTAATTTTGTTTTTTGTATTTTTAGTAGAGACGGGGTTTCACCGTGTTAGCCAGGATGGTGTCTATCTCCTGACCTCGTGATCCGCCTGCCTCAGCCTCCCAAAGTGCTGGGATTACAGGCGTGAGCCACCGCGCCCGGCCAGAAGCTATGTTTTAACCACATGCTCCTAAAATGGAGCACATGTAATGACTTCCTTATACTGCTGGAAGCTTTCATTGATAGATTCTCAGTCTTTCCTACCGTCATATGTTGCAAATCTAGAATATGTGTTGTCGCCATTGAGGTTTTGGGATCGTGAGTGTACTTGTCTGCTAGAGCTGCCATAACAAAACTTTTGTGCCTTGAACAACAAATTTATTTTCTCACAGTCTGGAGGCTAGAAATCCAAAACCAAGTTGCGAACAAGCTTGGTTTATAGTGAGACTTCTCTTTCTGGCTTAGAGATGGTCACCTTCTCACTGTGTCCTCACGTGGCCTTTCCTCTGTGTATACCTAGAGAGGGGAGGAGAGAGAGAGGTCTGGTATTTCTTCCTCTGCTTGTGAGAATACCAGTCCTTCAGGATTAAAGCCCCATTCTTATAACTTTATTTAATCGTTACTATCTTATTATGGACCCTGTCTCCAAATACAGTAACAAAAGGAGTTAGGGCTTCAACATATGAATTTTAGGGGGACAAAATTTAGTCCATAACAGTGAGCTTATGTGTATACATATACACATATAGGTGGGCATGTTTTTGTGTGTACACATATGCAAATATATTCTGTGGTCCTAAAATTGTTGGATTCTTTTTCGGACTTATTAAACACAAAAAAGAAATGAGTTTATCATTTTACAGGGACCCCACTGCCATGCTCTCATTTCGCTGATGACAAGTTTCATGACACAAACTGTCTAATGCTACAATGGAGAAAATGATGACTTGGTAAGAGATTGAAATCCCTGTCACACCTTGAAAATGTAAAGGTTTATTGTAACCCCTCCAGCTAAGTGTTTACTGCAAATAGAATGTCACTTATAATTCTGAGAACTTTCTTCTGTGTTAGGGAAATACATTAAATTATAAGTATTTGCAATTCTACTCCCCTCCTCTATAAAGGGGATGGAGATTTTACTGTTTTTGTAGCTTCCAGACTTTTATTGTGTTGAGTGGGGTGATAAATGGAGAGGAAAAATGAGGAAGCTAAGAAAACCATATTGTTCTACTTAAGAAAAGACAACCTAATACCAGAGAGAGAGGGAGGAGTGGGTTGGAAAATTGAAGCGTGGGCTAGAAAAGGGATAGTAGTGACAGCCAAAGGAAGAGGAACAATGGAACTTGCTGTGGACTGAGTGATTTTATCCCCACAATCTAATTCACATATTGAAGCCCTAATCCCCAAAGTGAAGGTATTGGAGGTAGGGCCGTTGGGAAATAATATTGTTAGATGAGATCTTGAGTGTGGGGCCCTCCTAATGGGATGAGTGCCCTCACCAAACACCAAATCTGCCAGCTCTTTGCTCTTGTACTTCTCAGCTTCTAGAACTGTGAGGAATAAATGTCTATTGTTTAGGCCACCCGGTCTATGGTGTTTTATTATAGCAGCCAGTCTGACAAAGACAGGACTTTGGGAAGGTTTAAAAGGGTTTAATAGGGAATACTTCTGTGTGAAAATCAGCCTCTCATGTCTTCTGAAGAAACCTGTTTAGTAAATATTTGTATCATGCTTTAGGAGTTGGTCTGAAGTGGTTTATTCCTCTTTAATTTTATTAAGCTTTATGAAATCACTGTTTTGTAGATAAAAATGTTTAATGATTGACAGTTTTGTGTGGCTCAAGCTAATATATTTAGGTAAGTATAATTGTTGCAATTCAACTGATGGCAAGAGAAAGGAACCTCCAGATATTCTGGGCATATCCAGTACCTAATAACCTAAGGGTCTAAGGAAAGCTAGGTTGGACATGAGCCCTCAACTAGGAGCCTGAGGCCCTCCTTCCCACCCCCAGCCAACATTCAAATCTTATCATGTTCTAGGAGCATAAAAGGAACACATTTGACTTGCTTCAAAAATAAACCTATTCTTTCTCCTTTTGATACACAGTGGAGGGGCATGGAGAAAGTGGCCCCTACCACCCTGGCAACATGAAATAAAGGAAGGAGATGTAAGCATGCTCAAGGTTCTCTCTCTTGTAACAATTAGGGGGTTCGGTAGGCATGATGGAAACTGGCAAATCAGATGCATGAATTTTTCTTTCATTTGAGGATATGTACAAGGAAGATGAGCTAGAGCTAGGATGTAGGATTCTTCCTCAGTGATAGCCTGCAAATGCTTCCATATACTGAACATAAATAAGTACAAATTAGTATACTAAGCACTTGACACATGTCCATTCATTCATCCTTCAAAGAATGTGGTTTGAGTGCCTACTTCATGCCAGGTACCCCATGATACATTATCAGATCAAATTTTCACAATACCCCTAACAAGGGAGGAATTATCTTGCATTTATTGAGGAAAGCCTGGGGCTTAGGGTAGTGAAAGAATTGTTTATAATTAGTAAGGAGCTTAGTCAGGATTTGAAGTGAGGTTTAATGAAAAACCCATTCTTTTAACCACTACACAATAGTGAATGCTTAAACTTTTTTCCAACTCAAATCTGAAATGCCTTTTTCTCTGCCAGCTTTCACTGTGATCCACCATCATGGGGTGGCTGGAAGAGCAACACTGTGAGTTGGCAGAGCTGCTGCCAGAATGTTCTCAGTGAGGAGACACTGCTGTTTTCCCCTCCTGAGCCAGTGGTAGTTCAGAGCTCCAGAATCCTGCCTCATTAATGCAGAACCATGGGTGATAACAAATCCCAATTTCTGCTCACTGCCCTTCTCTAGTTCCCTAAATTGAAGCCAGGAGTGGGAATCATACTAAATAATGATTTCAAATAATAGGTCAGAGGATATTATCTATTCCCCGTCTTCAAGTAGAAGAGAGGGCTAAAACCCACAGGAAAGGCAGGTAGGATGAACAGCAGAAATTGCACAGGGATGGATGTTTTAATACTTCCCCCATTTCCTCTTACTCTCCCTGAGGAAGTTTCAAAACCCTTGATTAATGTATGTGCAGAGCCTTCTAAAGGAGTATCTGGTGAGCAAACCAAAAATAAATGAAACCCACAAGGAGCGGTAGGAAAGATAATAGCATTATTTCTGAAGGTAATCCTTTTGTAACAAAGTTGACTTTCATAATTTGAGTAATGGAAAGAAGATTGAGATAATTTGTTGTTCTGTAGTTCCACTAATTTGCAAGCTTTTTTTGGCTGTTTAGTCGATGTAACAGTATTATTTTTCTCACATTTTTCCAAACTACCTCCCCAAACAAAGACCCCTTCCATTAGATTTCATTTTCCATCTCAGTTCATAGGTGAAGGTGAACTTTCTCCTTCCTCTACCCAAAGGGAAAAAACACAAGATGTCATATATCCAAAATCTGTTATAAACTGAATTTTTGTGTCCCGCCCCCCTTACCCCTGCCAAAAAAGTTCACATATTGAAGCCCTAACCCTCAATGTGATTGTATTTGGAGATGGGGCCCCCCTTCAGGAGTTAATTAGGTCATTGAGGTGGGACCGTGGTTCAATGGAATTAGTGCCTGTGTAAGAAGAGACATCAGAGAGCCTGCTTGTTCTCTCTGCCATGTGAGGACACAATGAGAAGGCAGCTGTCTGCAAGCCAGGAGGAGTCCTCACCATTCTAGTACTCTGATCTTAGATTTCCAGCCTCCAGAAATGTGAGAAAATAAATCTCTGTTGTTTAAACATCCAGTCTATGGTATTTAAACGAGGCTAAGGCAAAGCAGACTAAGACAAATCCCTATCCAATTTTTTACTATGTCATCAATATCTATGGAATGAAAGCTAATAGATAATACACCATGAGCACAAGTTTTTATCATGTATCGATCCTAGAAAGGTCACACAGTAAGTAGTTAAGAAAGTAATCTGTACTTATCTTTCAGGAACTTACTGAAATGGTACTTAAAAAATGCTTAGCACTATGACCAACATGCAGCAAGTTTCAAAACATATTAGTTCTTGAAAAGAGAGTAAAGGGAAGGAGCCTATTTCGGAAAAGTGGTCAGGCTTCTTAATTTGAAAACAATGGAAATCACTAGTTTGAGCTGAAAAAGAACTTACTATAGATATTATCTATGTTACTATAATATCTATATTAAATATTTTGAGTTCTCAGAATCTCAAAATGGGCCAGAAGATCAGATTTAGAGGCTGTAAAGCCAATAATAATGTCCCCAGTCACACCTTAGAATTTGTCAGCTGGAGATCTCATGGCCACTGCCTCCACTGGGCACAACTAGCATAACCATCTTACCCTGGAAAATGCTGCTTGAATGCCTATTATTGCTACCTCTGTAGATTGCATTTAACTGCCACCACTTTTGCCAGAATGTGTAACTCACAGTGCCTCCTTCTTTGTGCCCCTAATTTCCAATTCAAAGTTCAGTACACATAAAATTGCACCCTGTGTCCTAGCTGTCAAGAGTAGTGAGAAAATAGAATCTAAATCTTATCAAGTCTGAAAATGTAAAGAATTCTTCAAATGTAGGAAGCGTAACCAATGTTTGAGGGGTAGGGATTGGATTGACTAAGTAAAACATAGGGAATTTTTTAAGTTGGTGAAACTACTCTGTATGATGCTCCTATGGTGGCAGATTCATGACACTATGCATTAATTGAAACCCATAGAATGATACAGCACAAAAGAATGAAACTTAATATATGCAAATGTTAAAAAAAGAGATAGGAAATCCCAGGATGGAATGCACCATATGACAGAACAATCTAACTGTATTACAAATACATAAGACAACTTCACTGAAGAATGGAAAATGGTTCTGACCTAAGTAACTTTGGAAAAGAAGAGGAATCTCTAAGTCTAAAAATTCAAAAAGTACTATACATAAGTGCTGTACTTTAGTTAATAAAGTTATTTCCCATGGAGGTATAAGTTATTAATTCTGAAGCCACCATTTATGTGTACTGGAATTGAACAATTAAGCAAATGAATATGGAAGCCAGATTTCTAACTGTTGAAGCAGGAGTTGCAAACTTCCAAGGGAAAAAGGCCGGAATAATCCCTGTGGTAACTGATTAGGATTGGAGATATCAGTATGAACTCATATTCTACTTAATTTAAATATGGATGATTACATATAGAAATATGTGTATGTATGTGTATATTCACAGATTACTATATACACATAAACTTCCTTGCTCTGTAGTTGGAAGAGTCTAAAAGCAATGACTTTCAGTAATAACAGTCCAGATCTTGGTTTCTAATATGATTCTTTTTAATAAAAAGAAACAACTCTTCTTGAGTGGCTGGTTCTAGGACCATGACAGGTAAATACTTAAGATAAACCTACAGTGCATTTTAGTGTGAAAAAGTAAGAAAGTGCTAATAACACTAACAAAAATAATAATAAGGATTTGTCAAAGGAACATAGGAGCCAAGTGGAAAGCTCTCAATGGCCAACCCTGGAACAATTTGAGAAATAAAATAAATCAAGTAGTATTGGATTGTCAACCAGAGTATAAAATAAGCATCCAAGAGTTCACAGTGGTATAAATAATTGATTGCATAAACAGGGGAGGCCAGGTGCAGTGGCTCACACCTGTAATCCTAGCACTTCGGGAGGCTGATGCAGGAGGATTGCCTGAGCTCAGGAGTTCAAGACCAGCCTGAGCAACATGGAGAAACCCTGTCTCTACTAAAAATACAAAAAACTAGCTGGGCATGGTGGCATGTGCCTGGAGTCCCAGCTACTCGGGAGACTGAGGCACAAGAATCGCTTGAACCCAGAAGGCGGAGGTTGCAGTGAGCTGAAATCATGCCACTGCACTCCAGTCTGGGTGACAGAGCAAGACTCTGTCCCCCACAAACCAAAAAAATAAATAAAATAAACAGGGGAGAAGAGACCTCCTGTGCAAAAAATTCCCAATAATTTACACTCCACCCTAAAGAAGAAGGTAATTACTCACTCCTTACATGTACACTGTACACAATAACTTCTTTCCACATAATAACAGTGTGGAAAAGCCAGAATAAAGTAAATTTACAGTAACCTAACAAACACTACCTCAGACAGGTGGTCAAGGTCAACATCAACTATGATAAGTTATGTTAATAGTATGTACCCTTGATATAATGTGGTAAGAATGGCACTTTTTATCTGTGGTCTTCCTCCAAACCCACAACCCCAGACTAATTGTGAGACAACCATCATATGAATCCCAGTTGACGCAAATTCTAAAATTACATAAAAGGTATCCTTTATAAGAGTTGAAGTCATGCAAAACAAGGTAATCTAAGAAACAGTCACAGCCAAGAGGCACGTAAGGAAACATGAATATTAAATATATGTGGCATTCTGGATGGTATTCTGCAACAGAAAAAGATTTAAAAAAAAATAAAAAGATTTGGATAATCTTGCTAGCACTAACATATCTATACTAGTTCATTAATTGTGATAATGTACCATGTGCTACTGTAAGATGATAATAAAGGGATATGGTTGTGGGCTATATGGGAACTCTCTGTACTACCTTTGCAACTTTTGTTTTGTAAATCTATAACTAGCCTAAATGCTTAATTAAAAGTTTATTAACAAAGAAAAAAGTGAATACTTGATATGGTTTGGCTGTGTCCCCGCCCAAAGTGTCAACTTGATTTATAATTCCCATAAACCCCATAATCCCCAGAGGTCAAGGGAAAGATCAGGTGGTGGGAATTGGATCATGAGGGCAGTTTCCCCTACACGGTTCTCATCATAGGGAGTTCTCATGAGATCTGATGGTTTTATAAGGGGCTTTTGCCGCTTCTCTGGGTACTTCTCTTTCCTGCCGCCTTGTGAAGAAGGTGTATTGTTTACCCTTCACCTTCCACGGTGATTATAAGTTTCCTGAGATTTCCTCAGCCATGCTGAACTGTGAGTCAATGAAACCTCTTTCCTTTATAAATTACTCAGTCTTTGGCAGTTCTTTATAGCAGTATGAAAATGGACTAATACAATACTTAATCCAATTAATAAAAGAAAAATGATGTCCAATCTGCCCCATAAAGCAAATCCAAATACTATATATAAAGACATATCCAAAACAAAATGGTCCAGAAAGGTTGAAAATAAAGGAATGGGCAAAGGCCTAGCAGGCAAATGGAAATACAAAAACAGAGGTAGAAATCTGTAATTATTATGTGTATCAATGTATGAAATTACATAGAAATTACCTTTATATATAAAATTATGAAAGACTCAAGGGGATATAGAAACAGTAAAAATAGCAGACCCTTAACGCAACACTCTTAGTGTAAGACAAATCAAGAGGACAAAAAGTAAGGACAAAGATTTAAGCAAATAATCAACAAGATGAATCTAATTAATACATATAAAATTCATATCCTGATAATGGAGAATATATCTTCTTCTCAAGTGCACAAAACACATTTACAAAAACTGGTCACATATTTGGTCACAATGAAAACATTACAAAGTTCCATGAAAAGTAGAAATGTTACAAACAATAATCTCTGATCACAATGCAATAAACATAAAAATTATAAACAAAAGAGAAAAAATATTCTTCTGAAATTAAAAAAATTAAAATCTGGCAAACAACTCTTGGATGAAAAGAAAATTTAGAAAACAAAATTACAGAATTTCTTTTTAAATAATAATGAAAATACTACTACCAAAATTTTTGGAATATGTTTCAAACAGTGAATAGAAAAATTCAGTCTTAAATACTTACATCAATCAAAAAGTAAGAATTAAAATAATTAAATTATCTCAAAAAACTAGAAAGAGGATATTGAAGTAAGCCAAAGGAACTTACAAAGAAGAAAATACTAAAAATAAAAGTAATAATTAATATGGTAGAGAAAAAATAATAAATTGATGTAATAAATTGTAATTTTAATTTAATAAATCAAAATCTTATTAAAAAATAAAATCAAAACATCATTTAAAAAATAGGGAGAAAGTACAAGTACACAAAATAAGAAATGACAAGAGGAAATAACCACTGAAACAGAAGAAATATTCTGAAATCATAAGGGATTGTATTGCAGAGCTTTATGCAGATAAATTTGAAAACCAAGATGAAATGGATTTTAAGGAAAATACAGCTTATGAAAATGTCCCATTAGTGATAAAAAGACAAATATCCATAAAAGAGAAAAAGGAAACAAGGAGCTGTAGCACAAAAAAAGCACCAGGCCCTGATGGCTTCACAGGGCAGTTCTACTGAATATTTAATGACCAAAAATACCAATGCTCCATAACTTGTTCCAGAACATTGAAAATAAAAAAAATTATAATTATTAGTATGGAACAAGAATAACATTGATAATTAAACCTGATAAAGTCCATACAAACAAAAGCTTTAATTTAAACCATTAGCAAACAGAATCTAACACAATAATATAAAAGCAATACACCATGACAAAGTAGGATTTGTTTCAGGAATGTAAAATTGACTCAATCTTAGAAGATAAATTATTATGACACAATACACCTAAAGAGGAGAACTTTTTAATGTTTTCACAGGTATAACAAATTCAATGAATTATATAATATTCATTTTTGGAAAAATCATACAGCAAAATATAAATTGGTATATACTTTCTTAAAATGGATATTGAGAAAATTAGTGGATACCCACTAACTCTACTACTATTAACATTTACTAGAGGCCTATGCAATCAGATGAGTAAAACTAATAAGAGGCATAGTGTTGGAAAAGAAAAAGTAAACTGCTGCTATTTGCTGAAGATATGATCGATGACCATATACCCAGAAAGTCAATGATAATTCTAACTAAAAAAAATACATTAGCAGCATATAAAATTAACATGCAGAAATAGTTTTCATAAACATATAAGATTATCAGAGAATATAATGGCAAAGAAAATTTTATTTACCATAAAAATGAGACAAGATACCCAGGAATAACTTTGACAAAAAATGTATGAATTTACATAAAGAAAACTTAACTCCTCTGAGAAATAATCTTGGACTTGACCAAATGGAAAGACATTTCTAGTTCTTGGATAATATGACTCAACATCATAAAGGTATCAGTTCTAAGTTATAAATTTAATGCAACCCCAAGGAAAATGCCAGCAAGCCATTTGATGGATCTGGACTAAGCAAGTTAATACAAATTTTATACGGAATATTCAGGAAAATCCTATAAAGGAAAAACTACCACTAGAGGATTGATCCTACCAGACTTTTAAAAATACTACAACATGTTTATAATTAAAATAGTATGATACTGGTACATAAGCAGATAGACCAGTGAGAAATAATTAAAAATCGAGAAATAGAACAAAGTGCCTATTTAATGTATATGACACATGAAGGTAACCTCAAACCACTAGGGCAAGGATGGATATCTTCATAAGTGGTTGGTGGGAGAACTGATACTTAGAAAAAGACAGTTAGATCCATACCTCATTTAATACATAAGAAAAAACACCAAATTAGTCAGGAATCTGAATGTAAAAAGTAAACCCACAAAAGTACCGGAAGAAAATATGGATGAATTCCTATAAAACCTAGGGATAAGAAAAGATTTTCTAGCTTTAACTCAAAATCCAGAGAAAACATTGATAAATGTGAATACATTGTGTCATTCACAAAAGTTGCTTTGAAAACTTTTACATGGCATAAAAAAGTCAAAAGATAACATACTAGGAGAGAACATGTGTAGAATGCTTCACAGATAAAGAGCTAATAACACTAATACATGTGGAACTCTTAAAAATTCTAGAGAAAAAAGAATAGAAACTTTGCCAGATTTCAGGCAAGAAATGATGATGTTTCTAACCAGGGTAGTCACCACAGAGATAGTGGGAAACTGTTTGATTTCTGATATATTTTGAAGCTAGAATCAAGTTGATTTCCTGATAAACTAGACATGTAGTGGAAAATACAGAGAGGAATCTCACATGACCCTAGTGGTTTTGGCCTGAACCACTAAACAGATGGAGTCGGTGTAATTGAGATGGGAAAGACATTGGGTGACACAACTCTAAAGGATAAGTTTAGTGTTATACATGTTAATTGTGAAATATGTATTAGTTATTTAAGTGTGGATGTGACTTTCACACTTAATGCTTGCAATAGCTTCTATCTGTCTAGGGCATTACATATCCTCAGGCTTTGCTGTGTAGAGAAGCACAGGAAAGGAAAGGAGACAGGGAGACTTTGCCTTCACAGCCAACATTGTGAGACCCACAAATGTGAAGAGCTTATTTATTCCAATAATACTTTCATCAACCATGTGCCCTCTTGAGTCTATTCTTGTCTCTGTAATGATTAGCAGGTTTCTGGACCCAATGATCTCTTAAACCTTCTAGAGACTTGTAATCCACTTCATATAAACTTAAGGTATAGAATTAAAGCCTCTATCCATGACTCCATTCCAGCAAACTACAGTTGACCAGAATGTGGTACTTATATTTTGGTAGTCGCCTTAATAATTTTAATGATGAAAATCTATTGTATCCTTTACAAGTGCCAGTTGGGAAAACAGACATTTTTAGTGTGTGTCTGCAGTTCAGATCTAATTGTGGCAGCATAGGGTTGAGTTTAGCATGAATTCAGGTCATTTAGTAATCTTAAGTTTCTCATCTTGATTGTCGTGAAAACTTCTATCATTCAGTGCATTCTGTAGTGTGGGTTACCTAAATAGAATCCAAATCAACTGTGTTGTCATGTCCTTCTGAATGCCCCACTGCAGGCATATAGCATGCAATTAAATACACAAGACTTCAATAGTAATCAGAGTTAGCAATGGTCTATGGTTTATTTAATGAGGGGAACAAGAAGACAAATTCTTTCAATCAATGGCTAGGATGTGATAAAGACATAGCTGGCACCCTTGTGCATAATTACACCTAGTGCATAATTCTTTTTAATGTCTCATCCTAGAAAGGATCTGGAATTTAACCTATAAACACTAATATTGCATGGCAAGAAAATGTTTCCATCTTTCTCTTCTATTCTTCTAATTTGCAATACATTTGAACTCCAAATTAGCCTTTATTTGGAACGATGCTCCCAGGAATCAATGTAGGTAACTATTTTTGTTTTGAGCTAAATAAAAAAATTCTGAATATGGTGAACTTCTAAAATAATATAAATATTGCAAAGATGTATGCATATAAGCCTAGCTCTTGCTGCCTTGGAACACCTTTGTATTTTGTTTTGTTTGAGATAGGGTCTTACTGTGTCACCTGGGTTGGAGTGCAGTGGTACAATTACAGCTCACTGCAGCCTCAACCACACCTTTGTTTAAAATGTATTTAAGTATTTGCTCTTTTCTATCTTAAATGTGCATAATCCTGATGTTCATCAGAGTTCCCTGGAAGTCTAGACATGATTCTCAGAGTGCTATCAATTTTCTATTTCATAGTGACTAGAACCTTCTTCATAATTCCTGCTCATTCCTAAGGAGTTTAAATTTTTTCTGTTCCCCTCTGCCTCTGGCCTTTGCATATAAAACTGCTGCATATATTTAGGCTCCTCACCAGATTTTCCAAGAACTCCATCTACTCTGAGCAGAGACCTGGCATGAAGAAGCAAGTGGCCACTGGGCACAGAGACCTATGGGTTTGTTTCACCTGGGGCTAAGTGGGGAAACTGGGGAAGAGGTTTGTGGGAGGGGTAGGAGAATGAAGGTGGGGACAAAGGGAAGTTAATTTAACCTACTTAGAAGAGTAAAAGCAGCCTGCAGCTGGACAGTACAGAGCAGCAAGTACATTTAATGCAATAAATATCCCAAATAAAGCATCTGGGATATGCTTTTTTTCCCTTCCCATCTGAGAAAGATGGGAAGGGAAGGGGAAGGGAAAGGGGAGTGGAGAGGAGGGGAGGTGAGAGGAGGGGATGGCAGGAAGGAAAAGGAGAGAGGGTGGGAGTAAGGAAAAGGAGAGAGGGTGAGAGGATGGAAAGAGGATGGAGAGAGGGAGGATGGATGGGGGAGGGAAGGATGGAGGATGGATGGGGGAGGGAAGGATAAAGGATGGATGGGGAAGGGAAGAGGATGGATTGAAGGAAGGAAAGCAAAGAAAGAATCAAGTAAAGGTACAAGTAAAAGGGAATTACCAGAATTTACATGTGAAGTGGTAAAGCTGTCATATCATGTAAACTGGACATGGAGCCACAGACAGGCAGGCACAGGGTCTCAATAATGTGGACTAAGACCATGAGCTGCCCATATCATTGGTGGGCAGGATTTATAGCCAAAGCTCACCTCACAGTTTTATAAAGCATTTGTAATTAATTCAAATGTTTAACATAACCATTTAATAAATTCAATTGTTTGAATCTTATATTATCCATCCTATTTGTTTCAAGACCTAATAACTAACTATATACTATTCATATCAAAAATAATTCTCATAGTCACTGAACTGGACTTAAACAGGAAAAAGTAAACCCGAACCCAACTTAATGGGTAAAAAGACAAAAGACAAAACTGGGCATTTTTAAGAGTGTGAATCCTCCATGACTGCTATATTAGCATAATGCATATTAAATATAATTTTTAAAAATCAAGCACCATCACTTTATTTTTTTCTCTCTGGACCACACACAGGAATAACTGTAGCAGAAGTCTCAAATCACAGCTCCCCATAGCACCCTGGCTTTCCTGTTGCCATGACAACACCAGAGAGAGTGAAATGAGGTTCCAAGATATGATCAAATTCATTGATTTTTTAAAAAAATTCAGGTTATATATTTCATGAATAGCAAAGCCTCAATACTAAGATTCAAGTATATTGCTTACATTATCTTACTATACATATGCAACTTAGAGACTACTATCTAGAGTTCGAAAGGACTTTATCCATAGAATTGCTGAAATAAATCTGGTATCCTCTCAATTATGTTTTTTGCAATAAGCACTGAATCATCTGAATGAAAAAGACGAAAGGACCTTGCTGAATGCAAAGACAATAAGTTGTCACTTTCTATCACCAGTTGCATTCTAGAAAACACGTGTTCAATATCCAGATATCATGGCTCCGTGTTTTGGTACATTATTGGATGATGTACAATTTTCAAATATATGATGAAAAAATACAATGAATGAGAATAAATCACAAGTAAATAATCTTGGGAAATAAATAACAAGTACATTGAAGTATAATATACATATCCAATACTGGTAAGCAAAGCCTTCTCTTTTAGACTTAGAAGAAATTTGTGAAAAACAATTTTACTGAAAAATTTGTGTTAGGCTTAACGTATTTTGCCATTTATCAGCCTGTGGGAGTTTCAATAGTAATTGGTGTTTTTACTATTTCTCCCTAAAATTACCTACATCTGACAATGTGTAATGGCAAAATTTTTTGAGAGCCTAGAGACATGCTAGACGCCCTCATCCCAGACAATCCACAGGGATATGTTCTAAGACCCTGAGTGGATGCCTGAAACCAGGGACAGTACCAAATCCTATACATACTGTATTTTCCTATGCATACCTACCTATGATAATTTTTCACCCTCATTTATGGCTTCGCTTTGGTACTTCTGAATGGCCAGCAGCAGTACTCTTGCACATTGAGGCTATTATTCAGTAAAATAAGGGTTGCATCAACACAAGCACTATGATGCCACCACAGTGAATCTGATAACTAAGAAGAATACTAAGTGACTAGCGGGCAGGTAGCGTATACAGTGTGGAAATGCCAGACCACGAGACGAGTCATATCCCATGTGGGACAGAGTGGGCAAGTGCGAGATTTCATCACCACTGCTCAGAACAGTGCACAATTTAAAACATGAATTTCTGTTTCTGGAATTGTCCATTTACTATTTTTGAACCACTGTTGACCATGGGTAACTGACACCATAGATAAGGATAGAGGGTGGAGGGGGAACTACTATACTACCATTTTAATTAAAAGTTTGGGTTTTCTTAAGAATGGGCCAATTTCCTCTAGGCCTGGACTTGTTTGTTTGATAATGTAGTTCATAGGTTAGGCTTTGTGGGACCAATGAGAAACTGAAGGCTTTTAGCTGCTGCGTTTCATAGCTGAGAGTTTCATCTGAAGTGTGAAAGAAAATGAGTTCACAAGAAGCACTTATGAGGATTTAAGCAGGATGGTATGTAAGAGAAACATTCCTTGGTTCTTTATAAAACAGTGACACTTTATGGCCTATTTATTTATAGTCTGGGGTGAATTAAACATAAGTAATGGCTCTTTTTATTTTCAGAAAGAGAACAGTAGTAAGTAAGTCTCACTATCTGGAAACAATATGGTTTTGATTGTTTCTCTCTTTTTGTTCATTGTCAATTGTGAACAAGGCAAATTGTATATAGACAACTGTTAGGAAATTGTGCTCCCCTCAAATTTCTATGTTGAATCCCTAACCCCCGGTACCTTAGGATGTGACTGTATTTGGAAATAGGTCTTTCAAGAAGATAATTAAAGCTAAATGCGGTCATTAGATGGAGGGGGTCTACTCCAGCATGACTGGTGTCCTCATAAATGAGGAAGAGACACCAGGGTGATATGCACACATGCACGTTTGCCATCCGCAAGCCAACAAGAGAGGCCTCAGAAGAAACCAAACCTTCTGACACCTTGATCTTGGACTTCCACCCTCCAGAGCTGAGAAAATTATTTTCTGGTCTTTAAGCCACCCAGTCTCTGGTGTTTCATTATGACAACCCTAGAAAACTAATACAATTCTAAGAAATTAGAATCAATTCAGTTGCACCTTGTTTGGAGGGACTTTCTCTTAACACTCCTCAACTCATAGGATACAGACTTTTCTCTCCTCTGTTTCTTACCAATCTTTGTCAAGTTAGAGGAATGTAATAAAAGACCACTAAATATATTTCTCTATCTTAAAAGATAAGTATCAAGACCAAGAGTTCCCCCTGCCCCCGCTTTGGATCCTTTCTTCTTCTTGGCATCTCTTGGCTAGACTCTAAAGAATTGCTATGGCAGAGGGACAGCTTAAACAATATGGACCTTGGGAGTCAGTTTGTAAAACAATATGCTAAGTTTGTGATGTCTTCCAAAACTCGGTAAAGTCTCTATAATTTGGAGAACAGAAGGATGGGGACAGGAGAAGTTGATCTCTGTTAGTACATACATACTTAAATACATGCATATACAACCATGTACGTACATAAGCACATACATACATAGTTACATATTCTCGGAGCCAGTGAACCTGTTGCTTAGACTTTGCACTAACTTTCTCCCTAGCTCATGTGCTAACCTGAAAAGGGACATAGGAAAATGTCCTTTGGGGTGAATTAAAAATAAGTAATGGCAATCCCAAATACTAACTATCCCAAAACACAGGTAATGAGAACTATAAGTTGCCTGCAAAAGCCACACCCTGGAAAATACTCTGAATTATCATCTTTGGAATCACAAAGATGAAAAGGTACCTCTTACTTCAAGCTTGCTCTTAATCAAAAATACTTTCATTATTACGTTCCTGCACTTTGTGGCCAGTCACTTCCCTGCTCATGATCATCACTAGGATTGTCCGGCATTGGCAGAATAAAGGCAATACTCCCTGCTTGACTATTCAAGCCTCTTCTCAACCTGGTCCTCATCTGCCATCTCACTTTCTCCCACCTACTCTCTACCAGAAAATGGCTTCTCCCAGTTTGGCTAATATTTCAGCCTCGCTCAATTCTGCTCACATCATTCATTCTGCATGGAAGCCTTCACCACTCCTCTGCACTATTTCTATGATGGTTATCCTCTGAGGATCAGAAGAACTCTCTCTTCCCACTGACAGTTCACAGTGCTGTGTCTAGCTCAGCCCTGAACTATGTCTCATAGTCTCTCTCCTCTCTGGATGACCCTTTTGACAAGCTTATCATCCTGTCTTGTGACATTTCTTTTCTCAAAGCTGCATACAGTTATTTTCACTTCTGAATGATTTCGCCTCTAAAGTGTATAGGTCCTGGTTCTCCTAAATTAGTTCAAAGCTCTTTGAAATCAAAGACTTTTTATTATCCTACACAAAAATCCAATGTCTCCCTACATTTTAGTAGATCCTTAATACCTATTTTAAATGTATGCAGCATAAGATTATAATGTGCAAAATATTTCACTTTTATATATCCTGAATATTTCTTGGCTAGGGCCTTAATCACATTTTTAGGGGTCAATTATGAAAGATGTGAACATTTAGAGAACACAAATACTGTCCATTTAGTGTACTTCATAGAATACATAGGAGTGTCCATTTGTAGGTGAGTAGGAGTTTGATACATTATTTGAGGTGATGTACTTCAAACTGTATGGAGAGATATTTAATGGAGAGATAACTCTATATTTAATATAGAAATATATGTGAATGCATAAGCAAATAGAAGTGTTGAAAATAAGTTATTTTATCTCAAAATAAGCAGAAACTAACACCTGGATCCCGAGGTAAGAAATCAGATACTTTTATCCTTTGAAGAATCATTGGAATGAGGTGGTCAATAAGTCCTCTATATCACATTGCTTCTACTACACTAACTATCCAACACTGATTTTATTTATGGATATATTTATGACATTTTCATGGCTCTCCATTAAGTTTATAAATCTCAAGATCAATATGTGAAATTTATTTCTTTAGAATATTAGTGACAGTTTGTTCAATAACTATTGACTCATCCACTGATTAAACCATAAAATGTGAGTTTCCCTATTTAAAAATAAATGACTGTATGTATCTCATAAGAAGAGCAGACATTATCTGAATGATGCCAGAAAGTATCTTACATATAATCGGTACTTTAAAAATTATCTGTGGAAGGAAAAGGAAGGAGGGAAAGAGAGAAAGAGTACACTATGCTCTACAGTTTAAACTACAAATTGCATATTAGTGTTAAGGAACATTACCAGATATAGGTATAAACAGAGCATGTAACATTCCCATACACAAGAGGTAAAATTCTCCTACTTATTTGCTTTCTTTTATTCAACTAAAATTTATCAAAATACAAAATATCAGCTCCCCTCTTCAACCTTCTACTTAAATATCAGCAAAGGTATTTTTAGCCCCAGTAGCAGAGTCACTAAAAGTGATATTTTATTAGCAGGAAAAATGCTTAACAAATAACATTTTGCATTAGGAAAAAACAACAATAACAACAACAACAACAAAAATGCCAAATTGCTGAATAGCTGATGTAGAGTAATAGAAGCCAAAAACATGCTGAAAATTTGTAACTGTGCCCAGAGCTACATTTAAGCAAAAGGATCATTACTTCTACTTTGAAGAAAAAGTTTCTAAATCAGCGAACCAAAGAAAGTCAGCTGAACCTTTCTCTGAATTATTTGGCAAACAATACATTTAGTAATATTTTACATACAAATAATGCCACTTTTCCAAGGTACCCAAATATTTTGCAAACATCCACTCAGCTTCAGAGCATCATAATTAAACAACTACTGCGTTAGTACCATCCCATGGGAATAACACCCAATGTCCATAGTCATTAAATAATGAAGTAGGCAAGGGACAGTACCCTTTTCATTCTGACCCCCCTCATACCATCCTGTACGTTACCTCCTTCCAGATGCTGTACTTAAATAGAAACTTATTTCCCTGCCCAGGGACTTCTCAGGAAAGGTAGAAGAGCAGACCTAGGCATCTCTGTTCACTGCTCAGAAGTAGATCAATTCAAAAGGTGAGATTAAAGACATTTTCAGTTGGAGTGGACTACAATGGTTTTATAGATAACAATTACTTACTGATAATTGTGGAGTTTGCAAATAACTACTGCATCCAGAAACATTCACAATTCCTCAGAACTTTCCAGTTCTCAGAGAAAATGATTAGCAGGCTCTTTTCAATGACATACTAAGGCGGGGTACGACGGCTTATGCCTGTAATGCCAGAATTTGTGAGGCCGAGGTGGGCGGATCACTTGAGGTCAGGAGTTCAAGACCAGCCTGGCCAACACGGCAACACTCCCTCTCTACAAAAAATATAAAAATTAGCCCGGCGTGGTGGTGTGTGCCTGTGTTCCCAACTACTCAGGAGGCTGAGGTGGGGGAATCACTTGAACCCAGGAGGCAGAGATCGCAGTGAGCTGAGATCATGCCACTGAACTCCAGCCTGGGTGACAGAGCGAGACTTTGTCTCAGGAAAAAAAAAAAAAAAAAAAAAAAGTGGTAAAATAGAGCTCTTAAAAACTCATTTGAAATTGAATCTTTACCCATATCTGCAATCTTAATAGAAGCCACTGAGGACAGTGGCTATGGAAGATACCCACTCCCTCTTCCCCTGCAAACACCCACAGAAATCTTTTTACTCCTGGTTACTCCAGTATTCTCCCGTTTGTCCTCTAGGAGCCCGCTATAGTTCATTCTTGAGTCTTTCTTAGGGGCTACTACCTAGTACTTCCCAAAATATGACCAACAAGCAAAACATCTGATACCTCTGAACCAGATCCCCTCAAAATCCCCCCTACCTAAAGCCCACAGAACCAAAGCTGCCTGGCAATTTGGCTGGCTTAGGGGATGCAAGATTCAATGTTGACTTTATTCTTGCTGCCTTCCAGCACTCTTGTAATTTTGCATCTCAACATCCTTAGCACTTTTTCAGTATTTGTATTTAGTATTTTGGGGTATTTTTTAGTATTTCAGCACTTTTGTATTTGACATATGGCTTCAAGAGTACAAGATCTTGCATCTATAGTTCTGTTACCTATAAATTTAACATAAACTTTTAAGTATAAATTACCTCTTTATAATTATAAAAGTTCGCAAGGTGTGGTGGCTTACGCCTGTAATCCCAGCACTGGGAGGCCAAGGCGGGCGAATCATCTGAGGTCAGGAATTCAAGACCAGCCTGTGCAACATGGTGAAACCCCATCTCTACTAAAAATACAAAAGTTAGCCAGATGTGGTGGCAGGTGCCTGTAATCCCAACTACTTGGAAGGCTGAGGCAGGAGAATCACTTGAACCTGGGAGACGGAGGTTGCAGTGAGCCAAGACTGTGCCTTTGCCCTCCAGCCAGGGCAATAAGAGCGAAACTCTATTTCGGAAAAAAAAAAAAAAAGTATAAAAGTTCAGTTTATTTACTTGGTATAGAGATTAGTCCAATTTCCTAATTATCTAACCTTCTGACTTTCATCCTTATGATAAGCAAGCTGATAGTCTAAGATTAGCTTTATTTTAGGATGTGGATAAGGAATGGCTGAACTGTAGTTCTCAAAACCTAACCCTTAACTCTCAGTCTCACCCTGCACAGGAAATTTTCCAACTTCATTTATAATATTAATGTAACACTATAATTATTTCATTTTGATATAATATCTTTTCTCTCTTGCACAACTACATTGTTTCAGAATTGTCTATTTCTGAGTCTCTTTCTCTCTCCCTCCTTGTGTCTCTCATGACTCTGAGCTCCCAAAAGCAAATACTTTGTGTTCTTCTCATCTCTAAAGGCCTAGTGTAGTGCCTGGGACACAGTGCATTCTCAATAGATATTTGTGGACAGACCCACTAACTGTGTGAGTAAAAGATTAAAAGAATAAATGGTAGGATCAATAGCATATTCACTAAACACATGTCAGCTAAGTGTGTGCTTTTGCAATTACTGACAAAACTGTTAGAACACATAGGAAAAAGCAACTAATAGTGAATGAGGGGTACTGTTAACGTGGGTTTATCAGAGTCCCAGCAGAGTTTCTTTTTGGAGCACTTCTCTAAAGTTCAACATGAGGAGGAGGGCAGGGCATGGGCTGAAATTTGTCTTCCCCAAAATTTGCATGTTGACATCCAAATCTCCAGGGAACCTCAGAAGGTGGCTGATATGGTTTGGCTGTGTCCCCACCAGAATCTCACCTTAAATTGTAATAACATCCATGTGTTGAGGGCCGGGACAGGTAGAGATAATTGAATCATAGGGACAGTTTCCCCCATACCATTCTTGTGGTAGTGAATGGGTCTCACAAGATCTGATGGTTTTATAAATGGGAGTTCCCCTGCACAAGCTCTCTTGCCTGCCACCGTGTAAGATGTGACTTTGCTCCTCATTTACCTTTAGCCATGATTGGGAGGCCTCTTCAACCATGTGGAACTGTGAGTCAATTAAACCTCTTTCCTTTATAAATTACCCAGTCTTGGGTATGTATTTATTAGCAGCATGAGAACAGACTAATACAGTGACCATATTTGGAGATGGGATCTTTAAAACCCATTTAGGCCTAGTGTTCCATTATTGGAACACTAAGCATGTGGGAGTTATTTATGTCCTACTGCTCAAGGTCATCACCAAAGTCTGATTTTTCACACATGTCTGCAATTCAAAAAATTGCAACCTCCAGTATAAATGGGTTACAGAGTATCATTTCAGTTACAATTACATGATTAGGGTGGGCCTCAGTCTACTATGACCAGTGTCCTTACAAGAAAAAAAAATTAGACGCAGACATGGACAGAAGGAAGATGACACACAGACACAGGGAAAAGATGGCCACCTACAAGCCAGGCAGAGAAGCCTCAGAAGGAACCAACCCTGCTGGCTCCTTGATCTTAGGCTCCCAGCCTCAAGAATCCTGAGTAAATTAACTTGGCATTTAAGCCACCCCATCTGTGATATTTTGTTATGGCAGCTTTAGCAAGCTAATACAGCAGGGTATGGCTGTTTTCGAAGCCCTGGTGCTCTGTGACCTGCAGTATTTCATAAAAGAAAGAAGATGTGAAGGTAATTAACATAACTGCCCACTGTATGCCTGGATACAGTGCCAGGTACTTCAGGAGAATCATCCTTTGGCTCTCCAAAATCACTCTATAATGCAGTATTATTAACCCAATTGTTATGATAAGAGAGACTCAGAGATTAAGAAGTTTTCTCACAATACTTGGCTAATTTATTTCAGAAACAAAGCTTCAAAACATGCCTAGCTGACTTCAAA
This sequence comes from Homo sapiens, assembly GCF_000001405.40. Lineage (NCBI taxonomy): Eukaryota > Metazoa > Chordata > Mammalia > Primates > Hominidae > Homo > Homo sapiens. Next base: position 62,262,190 of record NC_000014.9, on the reverse strand, counting down.
GTCTATGTTTTCTGACAGTGCTATGACCTCCACAGTCTACAAGATCTCTGAAGGCTGAAGGTCTACAAGAAAGATACTCTAGTGTCTACAGACAGAAGAGCATCTTCATGTACATTGCAGAGGTTAAAATTATTTAATCACATTTTTAAAATTATAATATTTACAAGAATGTAAGATGCATTTTTCTACCGATACACAAGAAAGAGAGAGAGAAAAAGGGAGGAGGAGGAGGAAGAGAAAAAGGAGGAGGAAAGTGGGTGAGGGAAGAATCAAAGTTATATTATATCCAAGCACTCAAGATCAGGACTAGAATAAACTAAAAGCAAAACACAAACATCACCCCTGTGAAGTTCATGTTCTAACAGCAATTTTCTTAACAAAAAATAGAGCCTACCATCTGCCATGAGACAGAGATTGGAATATATCCAGAACATGTTAGATCTAAATATTTTTCTACTATATAATTGGTAGGTCAAAAGTAATGGAGGCACTACCATAATATTTCTATTTAAATTCATCAAATTTTTTTTCTATTTTTATTATGTTCTCATATAATAATATTTGTCTGTGCTGTGTGTTGAGTTCATGCTGCCATAACAAAATATCTTAGACTGGGTAACTTACAAAGAATACAAATGTATTTCTCACAGTTGTGGAGGCTGGGAAGTCCAAGATCAAGGTGCCAGCAGATGCAGTGTCTAGTAAGGGCTTGCTCTTTGCTTACAAGATGGTGTCTTGTTGCTGGGTCCTCACGTGGTGGAAGGCATGGAGTGAATGAAGTCACCCCTCAAGCACTTTTGAAGAGTCGCTAATCCTATTCAAGAGGGCTGCAAAGTCCTCATGGCCTAATCACTTCATAAAGCCCCCACCTCTTAATACTGCTGTATTAGGAATTATGTGTCAACATGAATTTTGGAGGAACAAAAACATTCAAACCATAGCAATCTGTGAGGATGTTTCTGGAAGAGCTTAGCATTTGGATCCTTGGACTGAGTAAACAAGATTAAGCTCATCAATGTGGGTAGGCTCATCCAATCCACTGGGAGTCCAAATAGAACAAAATGGCAGTGTAAGGCAAATTTGCTCTCTCTGTTGGAGCTGAGGCATCCATTTTCTCCTGCTTTTGGGCATCAGTGCTCCTAGTTCCTGAGCCTTCAAACTCAGACTTAGACTTTTACCATTACCTACTCTAGTTCTTGTGCCTTTTAATTCACACTGAATTACACCACTGACTTTCCTGGTTTTCTATCTTGCAGATATCATATCACAAGACTCCTTAGCCTCCCTTGTCATCTGAGCCAATTCACATAGTAAATCACCTCACAGGTAGATAGGTAGGTAGGTGGGTAGGTAGGTAGGTAGGTAGGTATCCTATTGGTTCTGTTTCTTTGGAGATCCCTGGTTAATACAGGGAGTGATTTTGCCTCCCAAGGGATATTTGGCAATGTCTGGAGACACTTTTAGTTGTCATATTTGGGTGAAGTTGCTACTGGCCTCTAATGAATAGAGTCCAGGAAGCTGCTAAACACTCTACAGCATGCTAAACACTCTACAACATGCTAAACATTCTACCACATGACAGACTTATCCAGCCCAAAAATGCCAACAGCACTGAGACTGAGAAACCCTGAACAGGTACTAAGCACTTCTGCATAGAAATTCATGCAAATTTATTTTATGTTTCCATTTACTTTGCACCAGTATTTGTGATATATTAGTTTTGGCTCCATGTAATATATGCAATATAGTAGGATTCATTAAATGTACTCATTTAACTTAGTTTGCTTTTTATAAGTTAACGTAATTTTCTGCAATGTATTACCAATATTTGATTTTATAGAACCACATGATATAAAACTTCATTTACCAGTAATGTATTGTGTTTTTTTGCCTGTTACTACTTGACACACAACATATTTGCTGTACACAAACAACTATGTACAAATAACTATGATTTTACACTTTTTCAGGACTAGAATATACATGATCATACTCATAATATATCCATGACATATGATTTTCTAAACTCTAATACATGTATATGAACAAATAAATTTCCCATAAAAATATATAAAATATATTTCCTGTAAAATATATGATACTGTCATGAAATGTACCTTTCCCAACAATCATTTTATCCTTAAAAATTTCAGAAAATATTTTATATCTTTGTGTCTCATATGATGGCACATATGAAGTGGCATTAGGAAATTTTTCAGTGAAAAGTTTCTTTAAATTCCCTACCCATTCCATTTGTACATATTTGATTTGCACAGATTAGATTCAATTTGGCAGACATTCACTGAGCGCTGGAGAAATATGATGACTAGGACAGAGTTTCTAGCTGTGAAGCGCTCACTTTCCAGTCAAAGAGAAACAGAGAGCAGAACTTACTTTTTGTTTGGTGGTTGGAATTACAAGGTAAAACAAAATTTCTTCACATTTCTTTTTTTTCTTCCTGAAGTATCTATAACCAGTTTTCTGGTTTCTATATTGTCTAAACAATTATAAATCTTTTTAACTTTATATTGAGTCAAATACCATAATTTGCTAAATCAAATTTGGATTCATTTAGGGCCTTGAGATTTTTTCCAATTGCTCCTAATAGTTAACACAACAATGACAATTTCTAGTATGTGGATTTTATATTTCTTCTAGAGTATTTTCTTAAAGTAACACCCAGAGTGGGATTGCTAAGCCAAATAATGTGAACATTTTTATAGCTTTTAAAGTATCCTATTTTGTTACTTACAAAACCGTTCTGCCGTTTATACTGCCACTAGAGAATAATGGTGAAAACATTTCATCAAATACTTCTCAGGATTGAAATTTATCATTTAAAAGATGCTTTTGTAATTTAATACGATTTTAAATGCATCTTAAATTTTGTTTATATTTTAGGCCTCTGACGACTAGGTATGTATAGAAGTTTCCTATATTCTTCTCTAAATTTTTTTTCTGAAAAATGAATGTTTATGTCCTATGCTGATTTATCTGTTAGAATCCTAAGATTTTTCTATAAAATTAAACATAGAATTATTATTAATTAATTAAACTGTTCTGCTTGGCTTATATACTCATAAAGGATTGTTCTACTTACAGTGTATTTACCCGGTTGTGAACAACTGAAAGAAACTGAAATCCTGAGACTATCTGATACTTTTCCCAGGAAGTTTAGATTCTGGGGAAGCAGGGAATTCAATAGCTATGACAACAAAAGTCGTTAATGCCAGTTATCCACTTACCAAAGAAGCATGGTTTCAGAATGATTGTAGTAGCTAAGTTTAAAGTAAAAAGGGGGGGGGGGCAAAAAGATAACCATCTGTTAACAAGAACTTCATTTTTGTCTTTTCTTTCTACTTTCTTCGGGTGAGTGATTTGAGGGGATTAATGCAAACATCTGAACATGCTGTTTTGCACTGAGCTCACTTAGCCTTTTCTGCTCAAGTCCTTGACCCACATAAAGAAAGATATGATTTCCAAATTCAATGAAAGCTGAAATCGAAGGGGAGGGGAAAAATGCTATCTCAGCTCTAAGTCTGATTTCTCTTCTGTCCTACAGTTGTAATTGTATGATAGAGCTTCACTTAAAAATACCTCCCTGTGTTCACCAGGGCTCCTGCAATCCTCATATGCGAAGGGACCTTGAGATGTCATTCGCTACCTCAGACCATGTATTTGGACCCAAAACTCAAAACAAGTAGCCTAACCAAAGACTTTTTTCTTTACTTGCCAATGTATTTGTAATAATCTTACAAATGTTTCTAAAGGATCATGTGAATTTATCCATAAAATCAGTTGTCTAGGTCTTATTCATCTCTGCTGGTCCCCAGGCAGCTGGTGTGAAGGCATCAGCAGGCACCGATGCGCTATCCCACCTATTTCTGTGTCTTCAGCCCTCTTCCATCTCCTTTGAGTTAGTTTATTCAAGTGCCTATAAACATTGCCCCGTCCACATGCCACAGGTATTTCAAATCCAACACATCCAAAACTGAAATCACCTTTCCTTCCAAATGAGTTTCTCGACTTGATGTCCTCTCCCCATGAACACCACCACAACATTCATGACCCAGGCCAGAAATCTGAGAGCTCTCACAGGCCCCTGTCTCTCTTCTCTCCACACTCAGTCACTGAATTGGGTCAATTCTGTCTGAAAAAAAAATCAGTATCTCTCATGTTCATTTCCTTCTTTCCATCCTTACCATTGCTGCCTTTGTGCACAAACTATAATTTCCTAAGCAAATTATGAAAATCACCTGCTTATTGGTGTTCCTGCTTCCAGTGTTTATCACCATCCACCTGCTCATACAAAAACTGGTTCCACTCTCCTTAGCTCTTTCAGAAATCTTTAGAAAATACACATCTGATCATGTAATATGTGATCACCATTCTAGCCACCATTAGATTCTTCTAGTGTTCTTGGTAACTAAGTATAGTAGCCAAGACCCTCTATGAAGTTGCTCTCACCTGCCTCCCTCTGCTGCATCATCCTTGCCATTTCCCTTGGAACACCCACCCCTGGATTATATGGATTTCCTTCCATTTCCTTGACTAAGTGACACTATCAAGCTTCTGAGACTTTGCAAGCGTCATCTCCTGTGCCAGGAATGCCCTATTTACCTTGTCTGCCATACCAACACCCTTCAAGATTTGGTCGTTCTATCAGCCTCACCTCTAGCAATCTCCTCTGAATCCTTTTCCTAGCTCCAATCCCCTGTACCCTGGAACCTCTCCTTTTGTTCTCAGTGCATCTCTACCATATTCTATCTGTTGACGTCTCCCCACTAAACCATAAACACTGTGAGAATAGGAACTATCGCTCTATTGCCAGTGTTTAGCACAATGCTTAGCCTAAGGAATAGGTGACGAATGAATCAATCTCTATTAGGATCCTGTTAGGTGAAAGGGGGATTTTTCTATTTTCCTAGAAAGCATTCTGGGTACTCTATATTCAAGGACAAGAGAACTACAGGCTGCCAGGGAAGCCACATTCCACCAGTGGGGCTTGATAATAGAAGCTTGTTAAACAGAACCTGCATAACAGGATCATCCCAATATTTCAAGACCCCAGTACATAAGCAGGCAACTGGATGGAGAAAGCTAGTCTTTGAAATTTAGAGTTCCGGAAAAGAGAAATCTCTCCTCTCCTGACCTTCCCATGAGATGATAAACCCACAATAAAGCCAAGAGAGGCTCTGAGAATAATCACTTGAGTTTTAGGGGAACTGAAAGACAGGAATACTGAAATATTCAATCATTCTGTGCTTGAATCTTTGCCAAACCACCAGGCATGTTACAAGCGTGGGACTGTTATATGGTATGGGTCTCTTCCCTAAATTCCTGCTCCCTGAGATCCTAAAAGTTACAGAAGCCAAATCACTTCCTAGCAACAGACGCCAGATATGATAGCCATGAAGAGTAGATGAGATGAGGAGCTCACAGTGGTACAAAGAAGAGTGCATGTCAGAGGGATGTGGTGTGATGCTGCTGCCCATGAACACCCACATGATGCCACAGACCCTCAGGGAACCACTAGTGCCCAGGGAAGCCGGCCCCACCTGTCCACATCAAGACAAGAGCTTGAACACTGGCTGGTCATGACCACAAAGGAGAGTACAGAAGCCACATCATGCTGTCTCTCCAGCCAGCCCAACCTCAGAGTAAAAGCAGACGGAAGGTGGTGGGTAAGGGGAGTATGAACAAGGGTAGTAATGAAAATCTAGTCTGAAATGGGGAAGGGAGGGTGGCTTTGAGCTAAATATGAAATTTCAGTTTTTAAATAAATAGAATAAGCCTTAAAAAAACTGAATGAAACTTTTTTGGTAGCCATGCCCCAAAAGTTATGGAATCAGATTTTGATGTTCTTAAGGATCCGTAAGGTACAGTTGAGGTTAGTTGTTGGGAGTAAAAGATTATTTTGTCTTTATGTCCCAATAATTTGAGACTCCTCAACAACAACAACAACAACAAAAAGCTATACAGAGAAGAAAGGAAGGTGGAAGGCAGGGAAGGACAGAAGGAAAGGAAGGAAAAAGAGATGATAGGTCACACTCAGATAATCCACAGAGATAGCTTCTACAAAGTACAATGTATTAATATATCTTGTATGTTGTTGTATTAATATATCTTGTATGTTGTTATATCTTTTACATTTTATCATTATATCTTATACATTTGTGATTTAATAGAATCCAAAATATAAAATGCTAGCTCCAACAATTCTGTCTCAAAAAAAAAGCAGAATTTGCACAGATGTGTGCTCTCTAACTGTAGATTAAGAGATGAGTCTCCAAAACACAAGACCCTTGGGCTTTTTTTTTTTTTTGAAATGGAGTCTCACTCTTGTCACCCAGGCTGGAGTACAGTGGCGCGATCTCTGCTCACTGCAACTTCTGCCTCCTGGGTTCAAGCAATTCTCCTGCCTCAGCCTCCTGAGTAGCTGGGATTACTGTTGCCCGCCACCATGCCACGCTAATTTTTGTATTTTTAGTAGAGACAGAGTTTAGTAGAGACAGACCCAATGTTGGCTGGGTTGGTCTCGAACTCCTGACCTCAGGTGATCTGCCGGCCTCAGCCTCCCAAAGTGCTGGGATTATAGGCATGAGCCACCACACCTGGCTGCTCTTCATGATCTGATTTAAAATATCTGAGTTTTCTGCTGTAACTGAGATAGTCATGAGTAAAACCCATCTTCACTACAACAGGGCAAAATGAGAAATGTTGAATTGTTTTAAAGAACTGTTCCATGGCTGTTATTTCCCCTAACACAGGATTCCTGAGATTGAAAATTGCCAAGCAGCTTTGTGATCCTGCTTACAAACACCCCAGCCCTGGCACACGCACACTTCCATCCCCCAATCGCACTTCAGAGGGTCTCTTCCTTTCAAAATACTGTTGTGACCCCAATGATGAAACAGACAGAGTCTATATAAAATAGACACAGACTTCAGAATCCACAAGCTGGCTCCAGCAAACAGCTACCACATGTAATTGTTCAGCTAAATTGACAGATCATTTAAAAAGTTCTCCTAAGGAGATACTAATGATATTCAATGGTTCTTCCTCCTTTGAGGTGCTACGAGCTCTTTATAAAAATCAATTCTTTGGCCAGGGGCAGTGGCTCACACCTGTAATCCCCGCTCTTTAGGAGGCTGAAGCAGGAGAATTTCTTGAGGCCAGAAATTCAACACCAGCCTGGGCAACATAGTAAGACCCTGTCTCTACCAAATAAAAAGTTGAAAATAAAATTAAGAAATTAAAAAGTCAACTCTACACAGGTTTGAATAAACAGATCCCAGAAATAGTGAACACAAGAGTTATCTTTTTTTGCCCAGTTATTCCCCTGACGGTAAGCCCTATATACCTGAGTTTCTCAGTTAAAGACAATTCTTTAAGTATCAAAAACCTGGGGATTAGAAAGATACCTTACTAATGCATACATAAATTCTTTCAAAAGTGTTCTTTTAAACTGCTATACTGAGCCAAGCAGTGTGCTATGGGAACTCCTGGTGCCAGAGAGAAAGCATCTTTTTTTTTTTTTTTTGAGACGGAGTCTCACTCTCTTGCCCAAGCTGGAGTGCAGTGCCGCAATCTCGGCTCACTGCAGCCTCCACCCGCCAAGTTCAAGCGATTCTTCTTCCCCAGCCTCCTGAGTAGCTGGGACTACAGGCATGCACCACCACGCCTGGCTAATTTTTTTTTATTTTTAGTAGAGAGGGGGTTTCACCATATTGGCCAGGCTGGTCTCAAACTCCTGACCTCGTGATCTGCCTGCCTCAGCTTCCCAAAGTGCTGGGATTACAGGCATGAGCCACGAAACCCAGCCAAATCTGTTATTTTTCTACGAGTTCCTGAGAACAGACAGCCCAGTGCAAGGCCTGACACAAAGCTGGTACTCAATATATGCTGTTGAATAAATATTAGAGGAAAATGGCTAGAAAATGTTGAGATAATGATGAGAAAGAGGTCTGTACCAAGTGCTGCAGAGTGCCTGATTTGAACTAATCCAGTGGGGTGAGCAAGTAGTCAGGGAAGGCTTCTGCGCAGAATGTTCTAGACAGGGCTCTTTGAGTTACAACATCTGTGTTCTTTCTTTTCTTGGGAACACCCTATTTCTCTATATACTGAACTCTTACTCATCATTCAACACCCAGATAAAGTCTCCACACTTCCATGGGTGAAGCCAGCCCCAACCATCACACTCTCCCCTTCTAAACCCTTGATGCCTTCTGGAGCAGTTTCTTCCCACCCATGTGTATGTGCACATTCCCAGTCGATGTTCTTATCACACGTTTTAGCTTGTATTTTGTTGAAACACGCATAAAGCACTTAATATGTGCCAGGAAATGTCCTGATTTCTTTACAATCTCACCTTATTTAATCATCATAGCAGCCCAATGTACAGTTTTGCTGTTACCCCCATTTTATACTAGGGAAGCTGAAGCCCAGACACCTAGACTACTCAGTCTTTTGCAATAACAAACAAGCTCCTTGAGAGTAGAAAATGCATTGTCTCCATCTTTATAACTTCAGCTTGTTGTGTATAACTTGGCACGTTGTAGGCTTTCAATTTAATAAACAAAATTACGGATATATTGTTAAATAAAGGAGGTTTGGCAGAGGCCCCCATCTAAATCAAAGACTCTATTCACTTTAACAGGCACTTAATTGAATTTCCTTTTATATAATCTTCTTCCTCCTCTTAACAACTAAAATAGTTAGTAAACTATTGCTCTTGCTTGGGGGAAAAAAACCATAGAATTAATAGGACTCTTAAGCGTTGTTCTCAAGCCAAGTAAAGTTCATCAAGATCTGGTAAGCCCATTTACTTCAGAAAGACAAATTTCACATCATTGCCAAAAGAAAAAAGGAGATGCTTGTAAATTTTCTGTGCAAAATCTCAGTTCAAAACTGTGTCACCCTGATGTTTAATGTGCTGTTAAAGAACAGAAAACATGTCCAGAGTTAAACATGCTGAAAATGAGATCACCCTGTCCTTATGGCCAATGCTGTCCATCTCAGAGGACTACACAGAAAGGCTGAGAGCATAGTGAACAAGTGGCTGCTTGTGAACCAACCTTCCTCATCCACCTTCAACCCAAGCATTTGGAGGGTTGAGATCTGTTCAAATTGTGAAAAGAAAGATATTGCGTAAAAAGCAACAGAGAACAGAAAGATGCATGAAACTGTATGAACAGTGTGCACTGTCTGAACAGAGAGTCAAATGTCATTCGGTACAACCTGACTGGCCTGTAGGTCTTTCGGTGTCCTGAAATTTCCACCTCATTGCTTATTTTTAAGTACCAGTAAGTAGGCCTAGCCTAGAGAATAGAGGCACCCTGGTTTTGTAAAGTGCCAGAAGAATATCACCTCTCTTTTAATGGTTATGACCTTATTCATTTGGGGCAAATCCCCACTTAAAATGCCAGCACGCTGTGAGAAGTAAGGCTTAAGTCATTATCAGTTAACACTTGGTTTGTCTGATAATTCCCTATTTGAGATCAGTTTGTCCATGGGGAAGAATAAGAAAATGATCCAGACTGGTACAAAGAGAAGGGAGAGGAGTCCTAGGAGGCAGAAAAAGATGACTGCTGTAAGGGAGAGGGAGTCCCAAAAGACACACATGATGTGCTTTACAGTTTTTTCACGCTGGCTGTGTCACTGCACATCTGCAGGTGTATCCAGGACACTGGGAACAATAAGCAATTTTGACTCAGGAAAGGGTTTTAGTGAGAGATAAGTGTTTCTTTACCAGTCAATGTCTATTTCAAAAAATGAGCTGGATGAGTGGGGTCAAAGGCTACCAGGCCAGCACCCAACATCCCTGGAAAATAATGAAGCAGGGGGAAGACACAATGTTCTGGTATCAGGCTGATCAGCAGCACATGGTTAGACAGAGCTCGGGGCTGAAATTACTCAGAACTGGGCAGTGACTTGGTGTTCTATCCTTCCCCACAAGAAGACAAGCTGCATATCACACTCCCTGCACAACCTGATTGGAAAATAATTGTTTCACAGATTGTACGAATACTGTCATTGAGATGCTGTGACTGGTTTTCCTGCTCACACAGTCAGGTTCTGGAGACAATAAAGGCAAAAGATCTGCATTCCCATCACATTCTAACCATCCAACTAGCAGACCAAAGTCACCTAATCACCAGAACTTTCAAAATAAACAAGTGTGGGTTTGGGTTCCAGCACCCAGGAGGTGCAAAAGGCTTTCAGCTAGGCTGAAAAGGAAGAGAAGCTGGGAGAGCACTATTTGGGGATCCAGGACACAGATGGGGCATAGTGGAGGGAATAAATGGACTCATAGCCCCTCTATCTGCACTGAGACCTAGATCCAGGGCTGCCCTGAACTGTCATACAAATTGTGCTCTGCACAAGAGCACCCAGCCCATGTGAACAGTAGTGGGAACTCTACTACTATCTGCAAGCCAGGCAACTACCTGGGCAGGACTAAGTGGACAGACTCCCAAAGTGGGTGCCTTTTTTTTGTTTTTTATAGTTGGCCTGCCAAACAGATACAGCTTTATCTTAGTAGGTATAACACCACCTTATACATAAGCAAAGGTCATGCCAAGTCCAGTTCAACTGGATATGAGCAGAAGCTAAATAGAGGACTGTGGGGTAACTGGAACTCCCCCCACTGTTGTACCACAATTCCTGCGCCCTGCCCTCCTACAGACCTCACTCAACTTGGGAGCTCTGTTTTGGATTGACAACAAAGGGATCATTGTCTCAGGAAGATCAGAGGGCCCGGAGTTCTTGTCAATACCCTATGAGCACGGATGTTTATTTAAGTAACTCCAGAGAGTCTAGACACAGATTAGAGAACACATGCAGCGTTTCCAAGGAGCAAGGAAAGAGAAGGAGGAGCAGAAGTGGTGTGGATACTTGCAGACATCTGCTCAGCAATAAAGGGGGATGAGTGGGGGTTTGAGTGACAAGAGCTGAGTGATATGACCATATCTGAAAAGTCCACGTCCTAAATGGAGAAGTCAAAGCTAAGTTGTGTCAAAGGGAAGAATTTCAACCTGTGTGTTGAACAATGGGAGGTGAGTACTAAAGACCATTTCTGCCTAATTCTAAGGTTTTTCCAGGCCAACTGCAACCTCCCCTTATGTACTTGTGATCGCTGGGTCCATGGTTGGGCTCTTGGTCTCCCATCTTTTCTAAGAACCAGAACTTCCTTGCCTAGGGATTTCTTCATTAGCTCACTGGTTCATCCTCTCATGAGTTCAGGCTACCTTCATGTGGTAGGGGAGGTATACCAAGAGACCCCTTGTGGCCTCTCCTCATTGCTAAATGCAACCCCTGAGGTCCCAGTTGGCTTGCAGAAGACACACAGTAGTCTAGCTCGTCATAAACTCCTCTCACTGCGAATGGATTTCACTCTTTGGTCCTGTGAGCTAGCTCCATAGGAATTAATGTGTTTTTATGGTGTGATGCGTCTAGGGTTCTGAAAGTTAAGAGCATCCTTTTCCTTTTCCAGCCTCAGGCATTAGCCAGCTTGCCTGTGAATTTTGCATTTTAAGCACCTCAGATCTCAGCTTAATTAAGAGCATCACTGCTCCTGGAACAATCTGATGACAGAAAATCAGGCAAGCAAAACACATACACACACACACACAAAGAAAGAGAAAGAGAGAGAGAGTGAGAGAGAGAATATGCATGTGAGTCCAAGAGAGAGCTCACTGGGCTCAGCAAACTGAGTTCCATTCCTTCAAGCGAGCACTTAAGGAAGAGCTGCTCCTGCCTAGCAAGGCACAAGCACTGCTCAGACATGGGGCAAAACAAGAAAGAGTGCCAGGAGTCCTGAAGCCACAGCCTTGTCAGAGACCAGACACACACAGTTGGGCAATGCAAGGGCAGCTTTATGACACCTTATCACCATGCATCCAGTGGCCAATCTCTGCACAAGTGAAGAGAGGGACATACAGTAAAGGGGATGTCCCCATGGTGGTGGGCCCAGCAGGAGAGCTGCCCCTAAAAATAAGTGGAAGTTTACTCTGAGGATTAAATGTGACAATATCTAAAAAGTGTTGAGTGCAGACCAGGTACATTCAATAATTAGTACCTACTACAGTTATTAAGTCCTGTTTTGAGCTGAATTACGTCCTCCCAAAATTCATATGTTGAAGTCTTAACCCCCAGTGCCTAACAATGTGACTATATTTGGAGACAGGGCCTTTACAAAAGGTAATTGAGGGTTGGCCCTAATCCAGTGTGACTGGTGTCCTTCTAAGAAGAGGAGATCAGGATACAAGTACACACAAAGGAAAGCCCACATGAAGTCACAGAGAGAAGATGGCCATTTGCAAGCTAAGGAGAGAGGCCTCAGAAGAAACCAATGCTGCCAGCACCTTGATCTTGCAGGGGTAAGACCCAAAACTGTGAGAAAATCTATTTCTATTGTTTATGCCACCCTGTCCATGGTACTTTCTTATGGCAGCACCAGCAAAGGAATAGAGTGTATTCAGCTTCATCCCGCTGAGCTCCAGGGCCTCAAAAGAAGACCGTGCTTGTCTCTGGCAAGAACTTTGCCATACTGCTGCTGCTGGGGGAGGTGTGGGTACAAAGGTGACTCAGCCCCTTTTACTTTAGAAAAGCTAAGACCACCAGTGAAAAAAGCTTAAGCTGAGCCACAGCCAACCACACTTTCTCTCGGACAGCTGACCCTGGAGCACTTAGGTACAGAGCCAGGCTGAAGCTACTGCTTGGGAATCATAACACTGCTTTCTCTCTCCTGCATTATAGCCCAGGCCTGGGTATGCATGCAGAATTCACTTTTCTCAGCTAATAAAATGACATTTTACTCAACAGGAACTAATGCTGGCTCATCTGGAGCTATATGATAGGAGGAGGAAGGGGAGCTCATGTTTTATTGCAGGATAGCAAGGGAGGTAATGAAGGTGGGCACTGCAGCCAGCCCACCCAGATCTGATACCCAGCCTTGCCATTCTCTAATCATGTGACTTGAAGTCAACTATTAACCTCATTTTTCCAATTAGAAACAACTGCACATCCTGTTAGGATTTTGTAAGTATTAAATGAGTCCATCTATGTAAGACCTCACATGTCATCCCTATCATTGCTAGCTAGTATTATCAACATCGCCACATTATAAAGTAGATGCTATGATTATCCTCACTTTACAGCTTAGGAAACTGAGGCACTGAACCCAAAGTTACCCAGCTTATAAATGGCGCGGCCTGGGAATTGAACCCAGAGCCCATGAAGTGCACTGAGCTGTACTGTCTCATAAGCACTCCACTTTACAACAAGGGTGAAAGGGCTCTAGTATCAACATAATATTTATTACATGCTATCTCTCCAGGTCCTCGACCTCTTCAGAGTTCTATATAGTATTTTATTTCCTAGTGTCAAATCTTTCCATGAAACCCAAGCCATTTCCCTAAGTGTTCAGCCTCTTGGCCCACAGGCTCCTTGTCTCCTTACGGGTCTGCATGTTCAAGTGCAAATTCCTAGTGTCCCTTCCCAAACCTATAAAATCAGATTTTCTAGAGTGGAGCCCAGAAATCTGCATTTTAAGCATCCCCCACCCCGTTCCACACACACACACACACACACACACACACACACACACACACACACATAATCATCCTCCCCGTCATCTTCCCCCTGCATAATTCTCATGCACCCCTAAGTTTGGAACCATGGCTGTTGATTACATCTACCCCATTTTGTCTTTGTACATATTCTTAATAGGGACCTGACATGTTCCTAGTATGTTCCAGAACATTGAATTCAAAACCATTTTCCAAAAAGAGAAAAGAACAGTCCTGCTTTACTTGCCTGTTACAAATAATGCAGTCTCACTCACATAAAGGCACTGAATCTGTGGAAGGTGCAGGGTGAAGAGAAATCCCATAGCTATCATTTATCCAGATGTTTTCAATAGGAAAGAAAACATTAACTTTATAATTATCCCCACATCTCCAGGTCTGCAGTGGTTCTTTTAATCACTTGTTTTAGATGAAAAAGTTAACCCTTTCCAATTCTACTAATAATAGTTCTCAGAGAGAAGCAGAAAAGACTTATCCTTGACATAACAGGGACTGTCCTGGTGGTCTGTGATCTGGTGGTCAACTTTTCAAAGTAAGTACACCTACCAGATACAAATTCCTCCTTCCTCCTTCATTGGGATGCCACCGCAAAGATAGTTTTGACTATTCCGAACAAAAATGTGCTGCCTAAATAACACAAACAGTATAAACACTCACTGAATCATTAACTACCTGGTTTCATGACCTCCCACTAAAGCTCACAATTCAACCATGCAGCTGAATTCTGGGACATTCAGTGACCATGAGGGAAGAGTTCTGTTGTAATAATAACACAGCAGAAAGTAAGAATAACTAGTATTTGTTGAGCACTTAATTCCCAAGCACTGTACTCAGTGCTTTTCATAATTAACTGATACAGCAAAAGGAACCAGGAAGAAGGGAAAACCTGCTTGCCTTTGAAAAGTGACAAATCATTCACAACAAATTTGCTCTGGTAAAATGTATAGTATGCAATTTGCCAGTTGCCATGGCCCTTCCCCTTAGTGCCCAGTAAGCTGTTTCTGGCCCCCTACTAGCTTGCATGTGACATCCCTCCAGCTGCCCTGCCAGATGTTTTTTTGCTGGTCAACTGGCAGATACATGAGCGGATAATATCTCCAGTCTGCAGGAAGCCCTCTGTGGGATTTTCTTCCAATACAGCACTTACAGGATTTTAGTCGGAGGTTGGGGCATACGGAGATGGTAGTGGAATTACTTCACGTTGAAAATGAGAAGCAATATGTACAGCTGGCCAACCCCATTTAAACACTGGCTCCTTGGTGAGCAGTGGTCTGAGTTTGCAGCATTTGGGTTGTTTTCCCTTGAGCTATTAGAATGTTCATTAGCTGAAGTAAAAATCTGCAAGTAAGCTGCTAATAAAAACAGAGAATTTGCTTCTCTACAAGCCTGATTGTGGAACATTTTTGGCTTATTATGTTATTTAACCATCTAAAGAAACTAATTGTTTTGACTCATTTGTTGAAATTTATAACACTTGGATCCTTTTCTTTGCTTGCAGAGCAGACCAGAACATTTTGGCATTGAAGAACGTGTGGTTGATCTATGAAGTATAGTATTTTTAATACTCATTTTGAACGCAGTGGAAACCTTATTCAGAAGATTATTAGTTTATATCTGAATATCCTTTAAATTAGAATCTGTAAGATATTCCATAAGCAGAGGTATCTCTATACATAGAGGAAACACTGAACTCACTGGATCAAGAACATACTTTGCCCCAGAAGTAGATCCTTCATAGATAATATCGTCATCATATTAGTCCTTTTTCATGCTGCTGATAAAGGCATACCTGAGACTGGGCAATTTACAAAGGAAATAAGTTTAATGGAGAACTCACAGTTC
Organism: Homo sapiens; assembly: GCF_000001405.40. Classification (NCBI taxonomy): domain Eukaryota; kingdom Metazoa; phylum Chordata; class Mammalia; order Primates; family Hominidae; genus Homo; species Homo sapiens. The sequence goes on along the minus strand of NC_000014.9, from coordinate 62,246,759 downwards.
CACGTGGCTGGGGAAGCTTCACAATCATGGTGGAAGGCAAGGAGGAGCAAGTCACATCTTACATGGATGCTGGCAGGCTAAAGAGAGAGCTTGTACAGGGAAACTCCCCCTTAGAGAACTATCAGATCTCATGATATCCATTCACTATCACAAGAACAGCATGGGAAAGACCTGTCCCCACGATTCAATTACCTCCCACTGGGTCCCTCCTACAACACATGGGAATTATGGGAGCTACAAGAGGAGATTATGGTGGAGACATAGCCAAACCATATTATTCCACCCCTGGCTCCTCCCAAATCTCATGTCCTGACATTTCAAAATCAATCATGCCTTCACAACAGTCTCCCACAGTCTTAACTCTTTTCAGCATTAACTCAAAAGTCCACAGTCCAATGTCTCATCTGAGACAAGGCAAGTCCCTTCTTCCTATGAGCCTGTAAAATTAAAGGCAAGTTAGTTACTTCCTACCTACAATGAGGGTACAGGCATTGGGTAAATACAGCCATTCCACATAGGAGAAATTGGCCAAAACAAAGGGGTAACAGGCCCCATGCAAGTTTGAAATCCAGTGGGGCAGTCAATCTTAAAGCTCCAAAATGATGTCTTTGACTCCATGTCTCACATCCAGGTCATACTGATGCAAGAGGTGGGTTCCTACAGCCTTGGGCAGCTCCTCCCCTGTGGCTTTGCAGGGTATAGTCCTACTCCTGGCTGCTTTCATGGGCTGTTGTTGAGTGTCCCTGGCTTTTCCAGGTGCACAGTGCAAGCTGTCAGTGGATCTACCATTCTGGGATCTGGAGGACGGTGGCCTTCTTCTCACAACTCCACTAGGTGGTGCCCCAGTAGGGACTCTGTGTGGGGGCTTTGACCCCACATTTCCCTTCCATACTGCACTAGCAGAGGTTCTCCATGTGGGCCCTGCCCCTGCAGTAAACTTCTGCTTGGGCCTCCAGGCCTTTCCATACATCTTCTGAAATCTAGGTGGAAGTTCCCAAACCTCAATTCTTGATTTCTGTGCACCCAGAGGTTCAACACCACGTGGAAGATGCCAAGGCTTCAGGCTTTGCACCCTCTGAAGCAACAGCCTGAGCTGTACCCTGACCCCTTTTAGTCATGGCTGGAGTGGCTGGGACTCAGGGCACCAAGTCCCTAGACTGCATACAGCAGAGGGACCCTGGGCCCAGCCCACAAATCCATTTTTCCCTACTAAACCTCTGGGCCTGCGATGGAGGGGTTGGCATGAAGACCTCTGACATGCCCCGGAGACATTTTCCCAATTGTCTTGGGGATTAACATTCAAGCTCGTTACTTAACGCAAATTTCTGCAGCTGGCTTGAATTTCTCCCAGAAAATGGGATTTTTTTTTTTCTATTTTTTTTTCTATCACATTATCAGGTTGCAAATTTTCCAAACTTTCATGCTCTGCTTCTTTTATAAAACTAAATGCCTTTAACAGCACCCAAGTCACCTCTTGAATCCTTTGCTGCTTAGAAATTTCTTCTGCCAGATACCCTAAATCATCTCTCTCAAGTTCAAAGTTCAACAAATCTCTAGGGCAGAGGCAAAATGCTGCCAGTCTCTTTGCTAAAACATAACAGGATTCACCTTTGCTCCAGTTCCTAACAAGTTCCTCATTTCCATCTGAGACCACCTCAGCCTGGACTTCATTGTCCATGTTACTACCTGCATTTTGGGCAAGGCCATTCAACAAGTCTCTAGGAAGTTCCAAACTTCCCTACATTTTCCTGTTTTCTTCTGAGCCCTCCAAACTGTTCCAACCCCTGCTATTACCCAGTTCCAAAGTCGCTTTCACATTTTCTGATACCTTTTCAATAACGCCACACTCTACTGGTACCAATTTACTGTATTAGTCCATTTTCGTGCTGCTGATAAAGACATACCTGAGACTGGGTGATTTACAAAGAAAAGAGGACTAATGGAGAACTCACAGTTCCACATGGCTGGGGAAGCCTCACAATCATGGCAGAAGGCAAGAAGAAGCAAGACACATCTTACGTGGATGGCAGCAGGCAAAGAGAGAGCTTGTACAGGGAAACTCCCCCTTATAGAACCATCAGATCTCATGAAATGTATTCACTACCACAAGAACGGTATGGGAAATAACTGCCCCCATGATTCAATTACCTTCCATCAGGTCCCTCCCACAACATTTAGGAATTCAAGGTGAGATTTGGGTGGGGACACAGTGAAACCATATCAGTCATCATAAATAATGATGATGACAAAAGAAGGAGGGAAAGAGCAAGAGAGAAAGGGAGGAAGGAAAAAAGGAAGTTAGTTCTAGTCCCTCGGACCTGAGTTCAAATTAAATTTTGCTACTGTCAGCAAAGAGTTTCATTTTTCTTATCTGTAAAATGGTCACTACTTCACAAGATTGTTGAAATAATTAAGTATGCTAATGTATATAAGGCTTCTGGTCCATAATACATATCTAATGAAATTAGCTGTTACCAGGTATAATATAGGACACCAGGCATAGTAGTTTCCTATTGCTGTTGTAACAAATTACTACAAATTTAGTGGCTTAAAACAACACAAATTTATTATCTTATAGTTCTGAAGGTTAGAAGTCCAAAATGGAACTTAAGAGCTGTATGCTTTCTGGAAAGTCTAGGGCAGAATGTTTCCTTGTCATTTCTAGCTGCCAGAAGCCATCTCATAGTCCTTGACTCCTGGGTCCTTCCTCCATCTTTAAAGCCAGCAGCATGGTGTCTTCTCTTCTCTCTCTGACCTCTGCTTCCATCCTTTCATCTTCTTTGTTATGAGGACCCTTATGATTATATGAGTCCAGGTGGATAGTCTAAAATAATCTCATTTCAAGATACTTAATTTAGATACATCTGCCAGGTCCCTTCTGCTATGTAAGGCAAAATATTCATATTCTGGTGTCTGAGACATGGACTACTTTAAGAGCCATTGTTCAGCTTACTACAGTTTATTCTCTGGTCCCTAAAGATTCACTTCCATTCTACATGCAAAATACATTTCCCCCAATCCCAACATTCCCACAAATCTCAGGCCACTACAGTATCAATCCAGTTCAAAAATCTCATCTAAATTCACTGACCAAGAAGTTCCAAATCTCATTACTTAAATAATATATGGGTGAAACTCTTGGTGTGATCAATTGGGGCAAAAAATATCTCCATTTTTGACCTGTAAAACTAGAAAACAAGTAATGTGATCCCAAAATACAATGATGGGACAGACATAGGAAAATAGTTATAGTAATTTCAATTTAAAGGGGGAGATGGAGTGGGGATAGAAGGAAGAAACGAATCACTCATCCTAAGCAATATTGAGATCAAACTGGAAAAAAATTTATTAGGTTTAGAAGTCTAGGAATAATCCTCTGAGTCTTACACTTCTGCCCTCCTGGTCCACAGCTCCATTCTCTGGACATAAAACAGCCCTTTTGGCCAACAGTTTTGTCATCTGGGTCATCCTTCCTTTTTCACAAAAGGCAGAACATCTTTACAAGTGAGTAATTTATAAGCCTGTTTCCTGCAGGTAGAATTTTTGGAGCCTGACAGCCTTCTTTCATTTCTTCCTCTCTATCAGTTTTAGCCCAAACCGGCAGTGTTTCTGATGGTATAACATCCTCAAGAATGGTGTGGGTTTTCCATGTCTGTTCCAAGGACTTACTCCATTAAACAAGATGCTCCTTCAAAGATCCTTCCTGGATAATCTCATCTCTATTTTTAACTTCTCCTGAAATGGTTTAGGGGATCCATGAAATATAAGACATAATGTGATTAAATTCTTGGACCTTTGATCTTTACAAGGAGCTAGTGAAAAGTTGTCCAGCCATACCCTTGGCTTTCTCTCCAGGGCACAACTTACTGACCGCAAATCTCCTAATTGTAGCATTTTTTTCCATCTGGATAGGCTGAGAATTTCCCAAGTACCTAAGTCCTAGTTCTTTTTCTGCTTAGAGAACTTTCCCCAATCTGTCTCTTTTCTGTCACGTTTCACTATAAGAAAGCAAGAAGAAACCAAGCTAAACCTTCAACACTTTGCTGATATTCCATCACCTAAACATCCACAAGTTCATAACTATGAGCTCTTCTTTCCATATAACAATAGAACACAATTCAGCTGAGCTTTCTTCACTAAATCACAAGAATCTCCTTTACTTTCATCTCTATCAACAGCCAGTTAAATTTGAATTTCATATAAACAATAAAGACTACTTTATATAGATATGTCTCAAATATTGCCTGGGACATGCTTAAACTGAAAAATAACTTTCCATTTACCTGAAATTCAAGTTTAACTGGCATCCTGAATTTTTATTTGCTAAATCTGATGTCAGTGAGGTGCCATGGGTGATTCTGAGAGAACAGAATACAGAATAGAGAAATGATGAAGATGGGGAAGAAAAGCAGAAATTCACAATATAAGACTATGTATGGGACGGAAGACTTCATCAAGGAGCCACGACAGGAAGTCCTGAATTCCAGGGAGGCAACGCTAAATATTCAGAGAAGGTGGAATGTGGGGCAGAGGGATTAATCCTGAAACAGCCATAGGCATTGAGGAAGAGCATGCTTCATCTCATTACATTTCTAGAAGAGCAAAGGTTTTTTTTTTCATTTTTCTCTGGACTTCCTGTGGGCATGTATACACATACACACACACACACACACACATACACAAGATCTATGTGCATGGAAGCACGATGATGATTTTGGCCATACTTATTAATAAAATCTTTTTCCTCAGTGGCAACCTATCCGGGGAACCCACCCCCAATATTTCAATGTAGGTCTATTTTCCACAAGTGTTGGCCGGCTGAGAAAAAAAGACAGACCCTGTTTTCTGTTGTTTAAGATGTTTATCAAGACACGACACTGGTATTAAGATCACATGTTATCATCATTGCTACTATTATTTTTCTAACACCATTACAGTGCATTTGTGGGAGAGAAGAACCACCATACTTTTGTATCATTAAATAATGTTGGGAGTAGCAATCAGGAACAAGGAAAAGACTCAGCTTCCGCTGACACAGATCCAGTGAAAATGTTGGGAGAATCCAGAGGCAGATGTGAAGGTACCAAGGGAGGACATAGAGATCCTTAGAGGAAAGATTTTAAAAGAGCTGTAGCAATTTAACCTTCAGAATGAAAAAAAAAAGTGAACAGTGTTACTCAAACGTATGAAGGATAATCATTATACAGCTGCCTCTCATCTCCATTAAATCCAGAAAATTTACTCTGGATATACATTCTTATTCCTGGTAAAGTATTAGACATAATCCTAGGAGACTAACTTCCTGGTGGGGATCTTCTAAAACAGGAATTTCACATCTATCTGGAATAATGTGGGAACATTCTGGCCTAAATATGTGGAAATAAATGAGCCTGAGAATTCTATTAAAATAACATTTACATAATAATGTTAAATAATTATCATTTGGAAAAAATGATTTCTTGTATGTAGTTTATTTTTCTGTATCCATCCCACATTTCTTCTCTAGACTTATTCTTAGTAATTTAACTATCTCATACCTACTAATTTTATTTATTTGTTTTACCCTTCTTTATTCTGCTTAGTAGTTTGGAAGTAAGATTCTTTTTAAAGTCTTTTCCTTTAATGGCTGAAAAAGTACATATTAAATATAAACATTTTAGAAAACAAAGACAAGTCAAAAGAAGATTGAAACTGCCCATAATCTCAATTAAAACATTCTGGCATATGTTATCCAGACTTTTCTGAAAACATATGGGACAGGAAAAAAAAATAGTATATTTAGTATTCACAGTCTCTCAATGCCTGTGACCAGCCCACGGAGGTTTTTTTTCTCTTTGCTCACTCTGTTTCTCGACTTTTGTCATGCAGAATTAGGCAGTTGAGATTATGAAGGAGTAGAAAGAGTTGAGTGATTTACGCTGGAAACAGCAAAACTTATTCTCTAGGAAGATCAAAGGAGGAGGATGTAAACGAGGAGGGGGAAAGAGTGAGAAAGACCAGAGCCATTCCAGTAGAAATTAAGGATGAGTCCTGGGGAAAGAAAGGAAGTAATTGGGCGGCTTTCATTCTCCAATGACTAAGACATTGGGCCAATGGGAACCAGAAGAGAAACTTTAAGTAGATTAGATGTGTGTTATGAAAAAAATCCCCTTTAATGTTTTCCAAGAGAACACATACACAAAAAAAGTGATTTACATTCATTCTTTTTGAGATTTTTCTCAGGTTTTTTGTTGTTATTTCTGAAGAGGACCCTATGCCAGGGTTGACTTCAAGGGAACAGCAAACTATCCTAGCTATATGGTGTGCATAAATTTTGCCCAATTTTAATTATATTGCATATGCATTTGTATAACCATCTTGATTCTTAACAAAATGTTCATTAATGTTAATTAACTCTGTAATCAGTACACAGTCATTTTTAATTAACATACTATAACTGTACATCTAGGTTGATTATGTGTTCAATACCCTAAATAATACCTTGCTGAACATCTTTATGTATCAAGATTATTCTTTCTTAAAATATTTCTTAAGACAGGGTCTCAGAATTCAAATTATTGCATCATTTTCAATAAAAATAGAGAAAAGCAAACTTAAAAGGAAAATGGTTTATATTGATCATTTTTCAATAAAAATAGGGGGAAAGTTTTAAAGGAGAATTATTGGGCCAAAGGGTATAAACATTTTAATACTCTTGAGTCATGCTAACAAAGTGCTTTCCAAAAAGATATCAATTCTATTCTATTAGCACTTGGACCATCAGTGGATGAAGTTGCACATTTTACTATATTTTTTTCTCCAGTATTAAACATTCTCATGTTCAAAGAAATAATTATTTGTACATTCATTGAAGAGCGCTGGGGTTCAGATAACACTTTAAAAATTGACCCAAAAGCTTCAAATCATTCCTTGACCTTCTCGATGTCCCTGAAGGCCCATTTCAGTCAGATACTAATTAACTGGCAGCCAGGACTTTGAGTTGAAGAAATTGTTGTTTTCGTTTTTCAGAATAAAGAGACAAATTACACGAATTATAGGAAAACAAGATCAAGTGAGGAAATTTGTTTTCAAAGGAACCTCTTCCACAGAACATTCTGGAATCATGAATTTTATCTCATTCTTCCACTCTGCCTTCAACTTTGGTACCAGAGCTTCTGTGGTCAGAATGATGGCAGAGGACAAGTGTGTAAAATCTGCCCTTATCAGTGGAGGGTGACACTCTGCACAACAGCCAATCCGAGGGAGGAAAGCAGTCAAGTCAGTTTTACAGAGATTTTCAGTACCAATTAGCAACTCTTAAAAGGATGTTTCTGGTAAACTCAGAATACCAGAACCATTTTTCCTGAGCTGTTCAAATTTCTTCTAACTTGGATGAGGGGATTTATGCACAGTAATGTTAAATGCTTGACACTATTCAAAAGAAACAACAAAGATTGGAAGTACACATTTTAGATCATTTAAATCTCCAAATTCACATCACCATCATACCCTTTCTGTCAGTTTATACATAGAATCTATCAAAGACATAGGAGGGTCCAATCCTCAGGCTGTCACATGATTAGCACTTCAAGGAAGATTATATCCTGTCTGGGCAGCAGATTGTAAGGGATGATGCTCTGTTAGTTCTTCCTCTCTGAGCATCAGAATATTGGCTGCACATGTCAGTTGATCCCTTAAATTAAAGTTAATGATCCTGGCATGGGTACCCATTTGCTAGGCTTTTTATTAGCAGAAGAATTTATTGCAAATGACTCATTTTACCCTGCAGAATATACCATACACATTTTTCTAAACCATGAAGTTATTAATTCACCCGTACAATATAAGGCTGGTTGTGAAATTAGCCTGGGCCCTTGCTTACCAGAGAGCTGGTGAAATCTTTCACCTGCTATGTCTCAGAATTATCTGAACCCAGACCCCCAACTGAATGTTTTTTCCTCACCCTGGTTGTACTTGTGTCTTCTGGGTCCCCGCTTCCCCATTATGATCTGAGTTGAAAAGGACTGTTGCTTAAATCAGGAAACAACGAATTTGATGATCCCAATTTAGAGGTTGACTTACTAATTGGTGGCACTGATATCTGGGTTAATATATCACCTATAATAATTAGTGTCAAGCCCTATGAAAGCATGCTAAGCATTTAAAAACTTTTTCAGAGAATAAAAATAGTAGTAATCATATTGATAATACATGCCATTTATTAAATTCCTGGTTTTTTGCCATAGATTACAATCACCCAGCAAATTGATGTCATTCATTCATTCACTTATTCAACAAATATTAACTGGACTCCCAGCATGTCTCAGACACCTAAGACCCAGGCTGAAAGGTGACTATAACGTAGACCTTGATGAAGAGAATGGAGTGTGCTACAAGAGATGCCCCTGCAAGTTTCAGACAAAGCCAGAGGAGACAGGATAAAGAATACGGGGAGGTCACAGGGGTCTTCCTTGAGGAGGCAGCATCTGAGCTGCTAGAGGCAGAGTGACTAGAAGCCAATTGCAGAAGTCTAAGCGCTCAATGACTGCAAAGGAACAAAGACATCGGCAATGTGAACCAAGAATTCATGATGAACACATCGGATTTATGGAATAAAAAGGGTAAAGGACTCTTAGCCTAGGAGGTGAATGGCAGTGCCAGCATCCAAATTTGCTCCAAGCGAATTTGGGGTGAAAGATGAGGAGTTCATCCTCATTTCATATATATAAGGAAACTAAAGCTCAAAATGTGCAAAGATCCAACCCAAGGTCACACTAGTGGTTAATGGCCAAACTGGAATTCAAATATATTTTGGCTACCTCTAAATTTAGGCTCTTTTATTTATCTAACCTACTTTGTTAGTCTCCTTCTAGGAAAACTCACTGATAGCAGTTTGATTTCATTGGAGACAGTAAGAGATATTTACTAAAAGCAAAGCTAGCTTATTTTTTGTCCCTGTGCTCACCAGAAAAGGTACCAAATCTAAAGCTATTTTTCTCCTCTCCACCACTCCTCACCCCTTTGGTCCTATTTTTTCTATTAGATTCCCTACAGAACAATAAGCCCTGAAAAGGAAAGGCATTTGACGACCCTCACGCAGCTCAGCAAAATTATCATTATCTGCAAACTACATATTTGCATGTCTATATTGCCCAGTTTTAGAGGCCTGATGAAATTGTTTTTCTGTTGTTGCTGTCATGGTATCCAAAAGTAGATGCAGTTTGTAGAGTCAGCAAGAGGCAAAACACACTTTGCTGACAGTAGAACTCGCTCATTAATCTTAGCTATTGAGTGAAAGACAATTTAGGTTTTAAGTCATCAACTTTCCATAAGGTTGGAATTACCAAATGAAAGAAGAGGTATCCCTTTTTTGTTTTAGAAAAATTGTTACAACCCTTTATGCTTTACTGACTGATGGTAAGCCACAGACTTTGAACTACTCCAAGTTTTTTATACTGAATTTCAAGTATAAATATAAGCTGAAAAAACTATTCAAAATTATAAAATTTGTGTCATTCAACCAAAATCTATTTGGGTTAAGTCAGCCAAAATCTATTTGGGTTAAAATTATAAAATTTGTCGTATTCAGCCAACATCTATTTGGGTTAATTAAACATTATTAAAATTAAAGGAAGGTATTTCCTGGTGTCTGAAAGAACAATACGGAACTTCATAATGTTACTACCCAAAAGTTTTTAAGAATATTTTGAAGTCACTACGTCAATCTTGTAATCTTTTCCATTAAATAGGAAAAGTACCAGTATCAGGAATCTTTAGCATTTAACATAAATATTTGATAGTCCAATTTAAAGAACTACCAACATCCCATCCATCAACATGCCAAATGGAAGAATGGAGTAATCTGCTAAAGAGTCTAACACCTAGTTATACAGAAATAAATGATGCTCTTCTCTCCTATACATTTCACCAGTTTCTTATGTAAACACAGCACAAAGATTAGTAAATATTTTTACTTACCTAGTTTATTGATATTAATTACTACAAATTGTTCAGTGAAAATGTACTACCAAAAATGCCCCAAGAATTACAAAATATTTCATTTACTTAGAAACTGACTTTTGCCTCCAGAAAGCTTCGAATATTTAACAAAAGCACAACTTTCTAATAAAACCCCAAAATTGCAGAATACCATTTTCTAATTTATTCAGCTCTAAAGTGGTCAAAAAGTCAATCCTATAGTCTGAGGACAGGTCGTGGGATGAAAGACCACAAAACACAGCTATGAGACTTAAATGTAAAAATGTTACTTGTTCTGTAAATACCCATGCCATATGAAATAATTTCTGCTTGTTGGCACATTCAACCAAATATTTGCTGAGCATACACTTACTTTACTAAGTATATCTAGTTCTTCGAAAAATACTGAGTAGTGTTTTTTTTTTTGTGTTTTTTTGTTTTTGCTTTTGTTTTTGAGACAGTGTTTCGCTCTTGTCACCCAGGCTGGAGTGCAATGGCATGACTTCGGCTCACCGCAACCTCCGCCTCCCAGGTTCAAGTGATTCTCCTGCCTCAGCCTCCTGAGTAGCTGGGATTATAGGTGACTGCCACCATGCCTGGCTTATTTTTGTATTTTTAGTACAGACAGCGTTTCACCACATTGGCCATGCTGGTCTCGAACTCCTGACCTAAGGTGATCTTCTCGCCTTGACCTCCCAAAGTGCTGGGATTACAGGCATGAACCACCGCTGGCCAAGAATTATGATTTCTAAGCCAATTTGGGATATTTTGCCTAATCCCTGTCTTCATTTCTAATATTCATATAAGACAATGAATATTAACTAGTTAGGCAGTAATGCTGCTGGAGCAAGTTGTTTCAAGGAACTGAAAGATGAGCATTCTCAAGGAGTTATTTTGTGAAGAAAAGAAAATCATAGTAGGAATATAGATGAAGTACTATAGTATCGTTCGGACTGCTTCAAGTTTCTTATATGTGGTTAAGGAAAATAATATCAACTGGTTTGAAGTAAAGATAAAAGAAAGTAGAGGACTGAAAATAGTTCCAATAGTGGGACTTCTCCTTTCTCAGATTCACACAGTGCCATGGCGCAGAGCATGGCATGATTCATGGAAGAACTGAGATTTGAGGGATTTGAGCTGGGCATTGGAGGATATCCAGGACTTAGACATGTAAGGAAGTGAGAAGAAGAAAAAAAAAAACAGTCATTTGTCAATGCTGGGCCCTTGAATGTGGGAGTTGAGTAGGGCGAGAGGTAACATCAGCAAGCCCTAGCTTCCAGAGGAGATGAGACCTCCAAGGATGGAGACTGATAGAAATAAAAACTATGAATGGCAGATCATGCCAGGTCTGCAAAGCCCATTATAAACCCTGGGTTTGCTCCTGAAGGTCTATTCAACATCTTCCGGTGGGGCGGGGTGGGGGGAGGATAAGGAGGGGGATGCTAAAATACTTAACGGCATGTTTTTCACAGGAAAACATTGTCAATCCGGCAACTTAACTGCAAGCTAAGCTGGCAAGTCCCTAGAATTAGTGTTTATAAATTTCTGGTCCCTGGGACTGGCAACAGGGAAGCATGTGATTGCTTCATCCTTTGTGCACAAACTTTTCCCATCAGGAATCACAATCACTAAAAATAACCCAGATATTATGGGAGACGTGCTCCTCAATAAATAGATTTCATGCTAAAATACTCCCAGAGAAAGAAAGAGGCTTTGAGTGACAGTTGCTTCTTGCGGTAACTGATTGGCTGGGACCCAATGTCTAAGCTTACTTCCAGTGAGCTCCAAAGCTGAGTCAACCAAACGTTAAAAGTGATGCAGAAGGTGCTGTGAACAAGGTTAGTAATAGTATGTTACATTTTCACCTCACTTCTAAACTGCAACTAAGGATGAAACTATTATGTACAACCTATTATTAACACCATGTTTCTTTAAGTATTTGGGCAGGAATATTGACTACCTATTAGTTCTGCATCAGCAAATTGAAGAGAGTGAAAATGTAAGGAATCTTGCTCAGTGTGCAGCCAAACTAAGAGATGTGAGGGAGAAAGCTGATCAATTAGCTTAGCATACTGAAATGACAAAAAGTGCAAGCTGCAATATAATGCCTGAAAGCAATGGTAGGAGCTGAAGTAAGCTGACCACTATGGGCAATTTTGTTTCTGCTAGCTAAGCATCAAACAGCCCCAAACTTGCTAGAATGCTGACTTCTAGTCATGGAATGACTGCCAATAATGCTCATGTATAAAGTGCAGACTGACATGGGGAAGGACAAATCAAGATGACCCATATAAATATTCTCTCAATAATAGGAGAACTAGTGGGGTTAGCTGACTCTTCACCTTGAGCCCCACTGACAGGTGCCATCTTGGACTTGAAGATTACCACTCCAGAGCCATCTAAGTCATTATTCCTGGATGTCCTTTATAAAAGGATGGTTTTACTAAAATACAAATATTTACAGATGACAAAAAAAGATGTTTCTTACCAAGTTGTATGATAAAAGAATGAAACAATGTCAGACTGTTTTGTGACTGATTTAACAGGGCTACAAGAGCAAACCATACCCTGTATTTGGAGGTAAGGTATTCCCCATGAAGTAAAAATGCATGTTCACTTAGGAAATTATCTTGAAACCAGTTAAGCAAGAGACCTGAGATTGGGTTTGAATAGGGTAGTAATTATAATTTGGAAAGCCACAGTATAAGAGAGGGAGTCATTGTGAAAGCTACACCCAAAAGAGCTTCTGTCTCAGTGGAGCATGCTGACCTAGTATGCAGTAAGGCAGCAAAACAGAGAGGCCAGAGAAGCTTACCCAAAGGAGCATGTTTCCATAGCCTGTGTGAAAAAGTACTCAAGTAAATTCTCAGAAATAACAGAGGCATATAGACCAATGAAACAGAATTGAGAGTCCAGAAATAAACCACATATATATATGTGTGTGTGTGTGTGTGTGTGTGTGTGTGTATATATATATATATATATATATATATATAGTCAAATGATTTTTATAGGGTTGCCAAGACCATCCAATGGGGAAAAAAATAGACTCCTAAATGAAGGTTCTGTGACATTTGTATTTGCATGTGTGCAAAATAATGAAGTTGAAACTTTTTCTCAAACCCTATATAGAAAAATTAACTGAAAATTAACCAAAGAACTAAATGTAATAGCTAAAACTATAAAACTCTGAGAAAAAAGACATAGGGATAAATCCATAAGACCTTGAATTTAGTAAAAGGTTCTTAGATAATGACACCAAAAGCATGAGCAACAAAAGGAAAAACAAATACAACTTCATCAAAATTAAAAAATTTTGTGCTTTGAAGGACAGCATCAAGAAAGTGAAAAGATAACTCATAGAATGGGAGAAGATATTTTCATATTATATATCTGATAAGGAACTTATGTCTAAAGTATATAAAGCAATATCACAACTAAATAATAAGACAAACCAATGAAAACTGAGTAAAGGATCTGAATAGACATTTCTCTATGGAATATATACAAGTGGCCAATAAGCACATGAAAAGATGCTTGAAATCATTAATTATCAGGAAAATACAAATTAAAACCACAATGAGATACCACTAGAATGGCTAGAATTAAAAAGTCAGATAATAACAAATGTTGATGAGGGTATATCAACATCAGAATCTCACTGCTGGAGGGAAAGTAAAATGGTACAACTGCTTTGGGGAATAGTCTGGCATTTCCCTAAACCATTAAACATAGAGTAATTCCTGTATGTTTTCCTGAGTAGCTTTAGAGTTTCAGCTCTGACATTTAAGTCTTATCTATTTTGAGTTGATTTGTATGTAGCATGTGGAATAAGCATCCAAGTTTATTCTTCTTCATATGTGTATTATTTCATTCTCACACTGCTGATAAAGACATACCTGAGACTGGGCAATTTACAAAAGAAAGAGGCTTAATGGACTTACAATTCCACAGGGCTAGGGAAGCCTCACAATCATGACAGAAGGCAAGGAGGAGCAAGTCACATCTTACATGGCTGGCAGCAGGTAAAGAGAGAGCTTGTGCAGAGAAACTCTCATTTTTAAAACCATCAGATCTCATGAGACCCATTCACTAACACGAGAAAAGCACAGGAAAGACTTGCCCTCATGATTCGATCATCTCCCACCAGGTCTCTCCCACAACACGTAGGAATTATGGGAGCTATAAATGAGATTTGGGTGGGGACACAGAACCAAACCATATCTTTCTGCCCCTGGTCCCTCCCAAATCTCATATCTTCATATTTCAAAATGAATCATGCCTCCCCATCAGTCCCCCAAAGTCTCAACTTATTTCAGCACTAACTCAAAAGTCCACAGTCCAAAGTTTCATCCAAGACAAGTCAAGTCCCTTCCACCTATGAGCCCGTAAAATCAAACCAAGTTAGTTACTTCCTAGATACAATAGGGCTACAGGCATTGAGTAAATACAGCCATTCCAAATGGGAGAAATTGGCCAAAACAAAGGGGCTATAGGCCCCAAGCAAGTCCAAAATCCAGTGGGGCAGTCAAATCTTAAAGCTCCAAAATGATCTCCTTTGATTCCATGTCTCACATCCAGGTCACACTGATGCAAGAGGAGGGTTTCCATGGTCTTGGGCAGCTCTGTCCCTGCGGCTTTTAGGGTACAGCCTCCCTCCCGGCTGCCTTCATGAGCTGGCATTGAGTGTCTACAACTTTTCAGGTGCACAGTGCAAGCTGTCAGTGTATCTACCATTCTGGTGTCTGGAGGATGGTGGCCCCCTTCTCACAGCTCCACTAGGCAGTGCCACAGTAGGGACTCTGTGTGGGAACTTCCAACCCACATTTCCCTTCCACACCGCCCTAGCAGAGGTTCTCCATGAGGACCCTGCCCCTACAGCAAACTTCTGCCTGGGCATCCAGGAATTTCCATACATCTTCTGAAATGTAGGCAGAGGCTCCCAAACCTCAATTCTTGACTTCTGTGCACTCACAGGCTCAATACCACATGGAAGCTGACAAGCCTTGAGGCTTGCCTCCTCTGAAGCATGGCTAGAGCTCTATGTTAGCCCCTTTCAGCCACAGCTGGAGCAGCTGGGATGCAGGTCACCAAGTCCCTGGGCTGCACACAGCACGGAGACCCTGGGCCCAGCCCCTGAAACCATTTTTTCCTCCTAGGCCTTCAAGCCTGTGATGTGAGGAGCTGCCACAAAGGTCTCTGACATGCTCTGGAGACGTTTTCCCCATTGTCTTGGGGATTAACATTCAGCTCCTCATTACTTATGCAAATTTCTGCAGCCAGCTTGAATTTTTCCTCAGAAGATGAGATTTTCTTTTCTATTGCATTGTCAGGCTGCAAATTTTCCAAACTTTTATGCTCTGTTTCCCTTTTGAAACTAAATACCTTTAACAGCACCCAAGCCACCTCTTGAATGCTTTGCTGCTTAGAAATTTCTTCCATTAGATACCCTAAATCATCTCTTTCAAGTTCAAAATTCCACAAATCTCTATGGCAGGGACAAAATGCCACCAGTCTACTTGCTAAAACATAACAAGAGTCACCTTTGCTCCAGTTCCTAATAAGTTCCTCATCTCTACCTGACACCTTATGGTTCATATCACTGTCAGTAGTTTTGTCAAAGCCACTCAACAAGTCTCTAGGAAGTTCCAAACTTTCCCACATTTTCCTATCATCTTCTGAGCCCACCAAACTGTTCCAACCTCTGCCTGTTACCCAGATCCAAAGTCACTTCCACATTTTCAGGTGTCTTTTCAGCAACACCCCACTCTCCTAGTACCAATTTACTGTATTGGTCTGTTCTCACACTGCTAATAAAGACATATCCAAGACTGGGCAATTTACAAAAGAAGAGGTTTAATGACTTACAATTCCACATGGCTGGGGAAGCCTCACAATAATGGTGGAAGACAAGGAGGAGCAAGTCACATCTTACATGGATGGCAACAGGCAAAGAGAGCTTGCACAGAGAAACTCCCCTTTTAAAACCATCAAATCTCATGAGAACCATTCACTATCATGAGAACAGCACAGGAAAGACTTGCCCCCATGATTCAATCATCTCCCACGAGGTCCCTCCCACAACACATGGGAAACATGGGAGCTACAAGATGAGATTTGGGTGGGGACACAGAGCCAAACCATATCAATTTGGATATCCAATTTTCCCAACATCATTCATTGAAGAGATTGTCCTTTCCCCATTGTGTGTTCTTTGGTACATTTGTGCCATCTTTATCATGGCATCTTTGTTGAAAACCAATTGCCCTTATATACTTGGATTTATTTCTGGGCTTTCTTTCCTGTTCCATTGGTCTATATGTCTGTTTTTATGTCAGTTCCATGGTGTTTTGATTATAAGTCATTTTATATGTATTTTGAAATCAGGGAGTGTGATGCCTCCAAGTTTTGTTTTGTTTTTTTTGTTGTTGTTGAAGATTGCTTTGGTTATTTGAAGTCTTTTCTGGCTTCACACATATTTTAAGATTTTTCTTTCTATTCTGTGAAAAACGATATGAAATTTTGATAGAAATTACACTGAATCTGTAGATTCCTTTGCGTAGTACAGATATTTTAAAAATATTAATCTTCCAATCCATGATCATGAGATATCTTTTATTTTTGTTTCTTCAATTTCCTTCATCAAGCTTTTATAGTTTTCTGTGTACAGATCTTTCATCTCCTTGGTTAAATTTACTGCTAAGTATTTTTTGACACCATGGGATTATTAATTTTTGGATCATCCATTATTAGCACATAAAATGTTACTCATCTTTCTATTATGTTTTCGTAACCAGCAACTTTAATTTGTTTACCCATTCTAATAATTTTTGGTGAAGTCTTCAGAGTTGTCTATATATGTGATCATGTCATCAGCAGAGAAACTTTTACTTCATCCTTTCCTATACAGATGACTTTTATTTCTTAATAAACCTTTAGCAAGACTAACAGATTTTAAAGAGTGAGAGAAAAGGCACAACCAATATCAGGAATAAAAGAGATATCATTACAAAGCCCAGAGATATTAAAAGGTCAATAAGAGAATTTGCAATTGACAATTCCTCAAGAACCACAAACTACCAAAACTTATTCAAGCTAAACATAATCTGAAAAGTTCTACAACTATTAAATAAATTGAATCTATAATTTAAAATCTCCCCAAAACAGTCACCTCCATGCCCTATGATTTTACTTAAGAATTTACCAAACATTTAAGAAAGAATTAACACAAATTCTGCATATACTCTTCCAAATAATATAAAGAAAGTAATACTTTCCAATGAATATTATGAGGCCAAGTTATTCCTGCTACTGAAACTGACAAAGACAATGTTACAGAAAGAAAACAGTAGACCCCTCATAAACATACATGTAAAAATTCTCAAAAAAAGAAGTAATTTTACTCTAGCAATATATAAAGGGAATAATATACAGGATCAAGTGGTATTTATTCTAGAAATACAAGGCTGGTTCAATGTACAAACTCAATTAATATAATCCATTACATTAAATTCTAAATAAACATAGAATGATTCTATCAACTGGTGTAGAAAAAAAGAGCATTTGACAAAATTCAACATCCATTTATGATTAAGAACCTTTAAACAAGGCATAAAAGGCATCTGCAAAAACCTAGAGCTAACATCATTCTCAATGGTGAAATACTGAATGTTTTCTAAGATCAGGCAATAATGTCCACTATCATAACTTTTATTCAACATTGTACTCAAAATTTTCACCAGTACAATTAAGGAAGGAAAGGACAGATGGGATAATGGGCAGAAGGACAGAGGGAAGAGAGTCATACAAAATGAAAAGAAGAAATAAAACATTCTTCAAACACTGAAGACATAATCGTGTATACGATCCCATAAATCTAGGGGGTAAAAACGTGCAACTAAAAAACTGTGTTTAACAAGATCACAGGATACAAGGCCAACACTAAGATATCAACCATATTTCTATATATTAGCTGTGCTAGGCAGAATAATGACCTTCCAAAGATATCCACGACAATACTGCAAGATTCCCAGAACCTGTTAATATATTACTTTACATGGCAAAAATGACTTTGTGGATATTACTAAGGTTATGGGCCTTGAAATAGAGAGATTATCCTGGATTATCCAGGTGGGCCCAATAAAATTGCATAATTCCTTAAAATTGCAAAATATTCTTACCTATAATCAGAGAGAGATGCAAGGATGGATGGAAGTCAAAGAACTTCACCTGACATTGTTGATTTTGCAGATGGAAGAAGGGTGCCGTGAGCCAAGGAATGTGATTAACCTCTAGAATCTAAAATAGGCAAGGATTCTCCCCTAGAGCCTTCTGAAAGAAACAGCCCTGCTAACCATTTTAATTTTAGCCCAGTGAAACTCCAGTTGGATTTCTGACCTACAGAATAAAGAGTAAGATAACAAATATGTGTTGTTTAAAGCCATTAAGTGTGTGGCAATTTGTTACAATAGCAATAGAAAATTAATATAATAGTAATGAACAATTGGAAAAAGAAAGTTAAAACAATTTACAATAGCTCTGAAAATGTGTAATATTTTGGTTTAAATCTAATAAAACATGGACAGAAACTGTATGTTAAAAACAACAAAATGCTGATGAAACAATTCAAAGGACACCTAAATAAATTGATAAGCATACCATGTTTGCGGATTAGAAAACAGCATAGTAAAGATCTCGATTCTCTCTTTCTGTATCAATCTCAGATTTCCTGCAATTCCAATAAAATCCCCAGCAAGATTTATGACATAGAATTAGCCAAGCTGATGCTAAAATATCTATGGAAAGGCAAGGGAAACACAATTTTGAATAAAAAAGAATAAACTTGGAAGACTCATGCTATCCAATTTAAGATTACAAAATAAAGCTACAGTAATCACAAAGTGTGAGACTGGTGAAAAGATGAACACATGGATCAATGGAATAGGGTCTAGAAGTAAAACCCTAGACATATGGCCAGAAAAAAATGATTTTTAATAGATGCAAAGGGAATTCAGTAGACATAACAATCTTTTCGAAAAATTGTTCCAAAACAATTGATAATCCACATGCAAAAACACAAAATAAACCTTGACCCCATAGCCCTAACATTATCCTTAATGGTGAAATACTGAATACTTTCCACCTAAGATCAGGGAATAATGTCTACTATCACAACTTTTATTTAACATTATACCCAAGATCCTAGCCGTACAATAAAGCAAAGAAAGGACAGATTGGAAAATGGACAGAAAATTATACAAAATAAATATGTAAAGTTATGTAAAATTCATGAAATTACACAAAAATTTAGAATGGATTACATATTTAAATATAAAACAGAGTTATAAAACTTTTAGAAGAAAACCAGGGAAAAAATCTTTATAATCTGACCTTAGGAAAAGAGATTTTAGACGTGACACCAAAGGCAAAATCCAGAAAAGAAAAAATTCATTAATTGAACTCCATCAAAATAAAAAAAATTTTGCTCTGCCAATGACAGACAGAGACTTCAAAGACAAAATACCAACTGGGAAGAAATTTTTCAAATCACACATTTGAAGGATCTGTATCCTAATATGCAAAGAATTCTCAACTCTCCATAACAAAATAAACCACCTGATTTAAAAACAGGCATAAGGCTTTACCAAAGATTATTCAAAAAAGGCAAATAAGCCCATAACAAGATGTCCAACATCACTAGATATTCTGGGAAAACAAAACAATAATGAGCTATCACTATACACTAATTAAAATGGCCAAAATGAAAAATACTGACAGAATACTAGGTGCTGATAAGGATACAGAGCAATTGGAACCATTATACGTTTGCCTGAGGAAATGCAAAATGGTACAGACCCTCTAGAAAATAGCTTGGTAATTTCTTATAAAGGTAAACATACACCTATATATGATTCAGCAGTCCACTCACAGTATTCACCCTGGAAAAATAAAAACATGTTCACACTAAAACCTGCATATAAATGTTTATAGCATCTCTGTTCACAATCACCAAAAGATGAAAAACAAATGCCTTTCAATGGTTGAATGGATAAATACACTGTTAGGTCCCATACAACAGAAAGCTACTCAGCAAGAGAAAGGAAAGAACTATTGATACATGTTAACAACATAGATAAACCCTAAAGTCATCACCCTGGGTTAAAGAAGCCAGTTTCGAAAAGTTACGTACTTTACGATTCTGTTTCTGTAACATTCTGTAAAATAACTACAGATAGAAAACAGATCAGTGGTTGCCGGGGGATAGGAGTGGGAGGAGTGTTGAATTGTTCTATATCATGATTACAGTGGAAGTTACACAAATAACAAATCTATACCTGTATTAATATTCATAGAAGTGTATACCCCAAGAAGGTCAATTTTCCTGTTTGGTCATATAAAAAATAAAAGTTTTTAAAGACACAGACTGGTTTCCAAGGTGCTGAAAGTCTAATAAGTTGAGGTAGATGAACAATAAATCACAATCACACTCACACACACGTACACACAAACACACACATGATGCTAGAGACTCAATCACCCCCCACCCTATAGAAAGGGCACTTGTCTTACTAAGCTTTGTTTTACCATTCTCAAGATTTTGTACTCAGTAAGTAGTAATGGGACTGAACAGCTGATGAATGGTTTCTGTGGCTGCCAGACCATGGCTCACTGGCACAGAACCTGCCATGTTTACTCCATGGTGCTTTATCAGTCATGGAAACCTGAGGTTGAGAGAAAGATAGGATCCATACCTGCCTTTGTGCAATCAAAGATCACTAGAAGTGTATACCATGTCCACTGAAGGAAGGAATAAGAATGGATTAAGATATTGCACATTGTGAATCCTCAGAAACCATATATTGAATGAATTCATCGAGGAACAAAGGTAGGGATATTAAGGCACCCGAGTTTGAAGACATTTTTATGGACACATAGGCAAGGTTATCCCAACAATCTGCAGCCAAGGAAGTAAAGTAACCTGCTGACTTTTATAATATAATATAATCTTGCCTCTGAGCACAGTCACTTCTTTCAGAAGCAAAAATGGCTCCCAGGTCTCAAGAATGTAATGTAAGTATAATGTTCTGAAATTTACTACTGAAAACACTCCTTTCCTTTCTAATAGGAACCTGCAAGAAATAATTTAGGTTGCCAAGTTCTTTAATTTTGTTTTCATAGACACAGCGAAATAAAACAAAGTTTTGCTCCATAGAAAAACAAAACTGTGAGCTTTTTTGTTGTCATGTGCTGATATGTCCTGTAACACACAGGTTCCGAAAAGAGAACATATAAGACAAGTACCTTTCCTACATTATAGGCCTAGCAAAGGAACAAATAAATAACCTAGACAGACTAAAATTAAGTGGCTTGAGAGAGGAATGAATTGCCGTGACTCTCAGAAGCAAGAGAGAGACCTCTGAAGGAAGTGGGTGGGGGAAGGCGGGATCAAGGAAAGCTTTGTTGAAGATAATCTCTTTTAGCCTTTTTCTGTTCTAGCAATTGTTGCTTGTAGAATATTCTCTAGTCTTCCATGCACATAGCAGATGAGGACTTCCAGTGTCCACTCTAACAATATTTTCATCTTCCAGAGGGTAAATTAAAGAGTTGGAAAATACTGCCTTTGGTTTGTTCAATTGCTCTTTTTCTGCAAGTAGCAAAAACTCGTTCCCTTTCCAAACAGTGAGAGCTCTTAGAAGAAAGGTGAATGTTTGGGATTAGGGCTGGCAATAAATCATCTCAGGCTGAGCACTTAAAACACTGTCCTAAGGCACTGTGTAAATATGAGCAAAAAAGACTAACTGCTGTCTGAATTATCGCTACCCCTCTATTTTCTTCTCTTTCCCATCAAATTCAATCACATTGTTTCCCTTATACAAAGATATAAGGAAGCCATTTTTATCACAGCCTAAGAAAGGCCATTTCAACTTGCAAGGTTTTCATTGTGTAACAATAACAATCAAAAAGAAAACTACATGCTATATTCCCTTACCCCAAGGAGGAAAAAAATCTGTCATTTCCTCTTGGTATCAGCCACTGGCTGGCAGAGGAAGCTGGAGAAGCCCCTGGAGCCAAGTTACTTTGGGATCCAAGACCATTGTTTATTTCTACTTTTTTCCAAATATATTCTCGTATATCAATTTGATAGCACTTTCACAACTGGCCACTCCCATCTCAAAGGTTTTTATACCATTGTTCTTATCACTTACATCTTTTATAACCATTAAGATCACACTGTTAGTCATGTTGTATTGAGTTCTTATTAAGTATCAGGCATTGTATTGTAATCCCCACAACAGTCCTGTGAGGTAATTATCATTAGTCCTGTTTTACAAATGAGAAAAGATGGCCAACACAATGTAACCAGGAAGAGCTTCTCACACTTAGAGAGACCAGACCATCAAGTAAACCAGCACACTTCAAAGAGATCTTGGAAAGAAGGTACTGAGAGTGGACAGGAGGAGGACTCAGATCCTGAGAAGAAGCTGGGATTTCTGCATGGGCTTGCTGAGCACCAGAACTAATTCCTGGTCCTGAGCAGCTCCTAAAGAAGGGGTGAGTGAAACAGGCATGAAGTGACCAACTCTTGTCATAGACCTCCAGGATCCTAGCCACAGGAGACCCCACAACCAAACCAGACATTGGGAAACTGCCAGGAGACAGGGCAGGGAAAACTGCCTGGAGAGTTGCAGAGACAGAACCCTAGTCTGCACGGAGCCCAGAAGGTTTGGTGCAGGAACAGCTGCAGGGGTGCACAAACATGGGTGCTCATCTGCCAAGCCTCATCATACTCTTGTAGGTGGCTTTGGTCTTTGTTAGCTGCCACACCTAAAGAGAGTAGGGCTGTCTTGCTCATGGGATAGGGCCAGTCTGATCTAAATGCCCCTGTCTGCCGGCTTCTCCCAGGCTCCCTGCCCGGCCTCACCAACTTGCAATGCACCCTCAGCTGCCCCAGTGAAATGCTTGACTGTAGCTACCACTATAGCTTTTTCACTAGCAGCCTCCATATGCCCATTAGAACACTTTTGCAGACAGACTTCCACCAACACACACCCACCTACAGCCTTCCCATGCCAGTGCACACTAGCCACAGCTTCCTCTGCTGCCCCACAGGTGCATATACACACATAACCCCTAACCCCACTGCCACCCCACTAGAGTGCTTTTGCTTGCAGCCCCAGTCACAAGGTCATTGCCAGCAGACTGGGAATACCTGAGCCCTTCCAGCACAGCAGGTGTTCTACCTTCAGAAGCCAGAGAACAAAGCCATGGGCCTGGTCCAAACTCCTCAAGGCTGGAGCACACAACCTAGGAATGCTGAGCTGAGCTTTGGCCCCCTGAAAGCATCTAGAAATGAAGCCAATCAACTAAACCCAACTTATACCAGAGTCAAACCATCAAGGACATCAAAGAATGTAAAAGCAAAAATCCCCATCCAAAATACAGCAAGTTCAAAAGTCAAAGAAACATTAGCCCACACTGATGAGAAAGAACCAGCCCAAGAATTCTAGCAATGCTAAAAGCTAGAGTTACCTCTTATCTGTAATTGACTGCACCAGTTCTTCAACAATAGTTCTTAATCAGATTGAAATGGCTGAAATGACAGTCATAGAATTCAGAATCTGGATGGCAAGGGAGCTCAACAGATATAGGAAAAGGTTGAAATACAATCTAAAGAAAGCTATACAATGATCCAAGAGTTGAAAGATGACATAACCATTTTAAGAAAGAACCACACTGAACTTCTGGAAATGAAGAATTCCCTATTTCATAATGCAATTGAAAACATTAATAACAGAATAGACCAAGCCAAGGAAAGAACCTCAGAGCTCAAAGGCTGCTCCTTTGAATCAATGCAGATAAAAATAAAGAAAAAAGAATTTTAAAAAGAATGAAACCTCTGAGAAATATGGGATTATGTAAAAAGACCAAAATTACAACTCACTAGCATTCCTGAAAGACATGGAATGAGACCAAGCAAGTTGGAAAACACATTTAAGGATAATGTCCACAAAAATATCCCAACTCACTAGAGAGGTTGATGTTCAAATTCAGAAAATGCAGAGAATCCCTGTGAGATACTATTTAAGATGACCATTCCCAAGAAACAGTCATTATATTTTCCACGGTCAATGTGAAAGAAAAAAGTTTAAAGTCAGCAAGAGAGATGGATCAGGTCACCTAAAAATGGAACCTCATCAGGCTAACTGTGGACCTTTCAGCAGAAACCTTATAAACCAGAAGAGACTGGGGTCCTACATTTAGCATCCTTAAAGAAACGCCAATCAAGAATTTCATATCCAGCCAAACTAAGTTTGGTAAGCAAAGGAAATATAAAAACCTTTTTAAACAAGCAAATGCTAAGGAAATGTGTTACCACCAGACCTGCCTTACATGAGGACCTTAAGGGAATGCTAAATATAGAAACAAAAGACTGATACCTGCCACCACAAAAACAGGCATAAGTGCATATCCCACTGACACTGTAAAGCAACTGTATAATCAAGTCCACATAACAACCAGCTAACAACATGATACAGGATAAAATCTTCACATATCAATACTGGCCTTAAATATAAATGGACTAAATGCTTCACTTAAAAGGCACAGAGTGGCAAGTTAGATAAAGAATCAAGACCCAATTTTATGCTGTCTTCAAGAGATCTATCTCACATTCAATGACACTCATAGGGTCAAAGTAAAAGGATGGAGAAAGATCTATCAAGCAAATGGAAAAAAAAAGAGCAGGGGCTACTGTTCTTATTTCAGACAAAACAAACGTTAAGCCAACAATAATCAAAAAGGGACATTACATAAAGGGTTCAATTCAACAACAAGACTTAACTCTCCTAAATATATATGTGCCCAACATTAGAGCACCAGATTCATAAAACAAGTTCTTAGAGACCTACAAAGACACTTAGATAACCACACAATAATATTTGGAGATTCCGACACCCCAATGACAATGTTAGGCTGATCATTGAGGTAGAAAACTAATAAAGATATTCTGGACCTAAACTTGACACTTCACAAATGTAACTAACAGACATCTACAGAATTCCCTACCCGAAACAACAGAATATACATTTTTCTCACCTGCACACAGCACATACTCCAGGATCACCTACATGTTAGACCATAAAGCTATTCTTGACAAATTCAAAATAAGCGAATCATACCAACCACACTCTTGGACCACAGTGCAATAAAAATAGCAATCAATACCAAGAAGATCTCACAAAACTAGACAATTACATGAAACTAAACAACTTTCTCCTGAATGACTTTTCATTAAAGAATGAAATTAAGGCAGAAATCAAAAAATTTTTGAAACTAATGAAAACAAAGATACAACATACCAAAACCTCTGGGACACAACTGAAACAGTATTAAGAGGAAAGTTTACAGCATTAAACACCTTCATTAAGAAGGTAAAATGATCTCAAATTAATAAGCTAACATACCACCTAAAGAAACTAGAAAAACAAGAGCAATCAACCCCAAAGCTAGCAAAAGAAAATAACCAAAATCAGAGCTTAACAAAACAAAGTTGAGATGTGAAAATCTCTACAAAAGAACTAAACCAAAAGTTGATTATTTGAAAGAACAAGATGGATAGACTAATAGCTAGGCTAATAAAGAAAAAAGAAGACCCGGATAAAAACAATGAGAAATGACAAAAGAAACATTAACAACAACCCCATAGAAACACAAAAAACTCTCAGAGACTGTTATGTACACCTCTATGCAGGCAAACTAGAAAACCTACAAGAAATGGATAAATTCCTAGAAACATGCAACCTTCAAAAATTGAACCAGGAAGAAATTGAAACCCTGAGCAGTCTAAAAACCAGTTCTTGAATCAGGAACAGAAAAACTACCAACTAGGAAAACCTCTGGATTAGGCAGATTCAAAGTCAAATTCTAACACATGTACAAAGAAGAGCTGACACCAATTCTACTGAAATTTTTTCCAAAAAAAGCAAAGAGAGGGTACTCCTCCCCTACTCATTCTCTTAGGCCAGTATCATTCTGATACCAAAACATTGGGGAGAGACATGAAAAAAAAAGAAAACTTCAGGCTAATATACCTGATGAAGATAGATGCACAAATCCTCAATAAAATACCAGAAACCCCAATCCAGCAACACATCAAAAAGCTAATCTACCATAATCAAGTAGGCTTTACTCCTGGGATGCAGGATTGGTTCAACACATGCAAGTCAATAAATGTGATTCATCACATAAACAGAACTAAAAACAAAAACCACATAATTATCTCAATAGATGCAGAAAAGGCCTTTGATAATATTCAACATCCCTTCATGTTAAAAACAAACAAACAAACAAACCTCAAACTAGGCACCAAATGAATATACTTAAAATAATAAGAGCCACCTATTACAAACCCACACCCAACATCATTCTCAATGGGCAAAAGCTAAAAGCATTCCCTTTGAGAACCAAAACAAGGCAAAGGTGCCCACTCTCATCACTCCTAGTCAACATAGCACTGGAAGTCCTAGCCAAAGTAATCAGGCAAGAGAAAGAAAGAAAAAGCATCCAAATAAAAGGAGAAGAACTAAAACTATTTCTCTTCATATACGCTATGATTCTATACCTAGAAAACTCCATAGTCTCTGCCCAAAGATTCCTAGTTCCAATAAATAACTTTAGTAAAGTTTCACGATACAAAATCAAGGTACAAAAACCAGTAGCATTTCAAAATTACAAAAACACCCAAGCTGAGGGCCAAATCAAAAATGTAATCCCATTCACAATAGCTACAATAAGAATAAAATGGCTAGGAATAAGTCTAATTGAAGAGGTGAAAGATCTCCACTTGAGAATTTCAAAACATTAAAAAAATCAGAGATGACAAAAATGAAAAAACATGTCATGCTCACAGATAGGAAGAATTGATATTGTTACAATGGCTGTATTGCCCAAAATGATTTATAGATTCAATGCTATTCCTATCAAACTACAAATGGCATTCTTCACAGAACTAGAAAAAAATTACTTTAAATTCTTATGGAACCAAAAAAGAGCCCAAATAGCCACAGCAATTTTAAGCAGAAAGAATAAAGCCAGAGGCATCACACTATCAGACTTCAAACTATACTACAAGCCTGCAGTAACCAAAACAGTACTGTAATGGTACAAAAACAGACACATGGACTAATGAAACAGATTAAAGAACCTAGAAATAAAGCCGTACACCTACAACCATCTGATCTTCAACAAAGTTGACGATAACAAACAATGGGGAAAGGACTCCCCGGATTCAATAGATGGTGCTGGAATAATTGGCTAGCCATATGCAGAAGATTAAAACTGGACCCTTTCATCTTATAAAAAATCAACTCAAATGGATTAAAGAATTAAATATAAGACCTAAAACTATGAAAACCCTAGAAGGAAACCAAGGAAATCCATTTTGGACATAGGCCTTGCCAAAGATTTCACAATAAAGTCTCCAAAAGCAATTACAACAAAACCAAAATAGGTGAGTGTAACTAAACTAAAGAGCTTAGCATAGCAAAATAACTATTATCAGTGTAAACAGATAACCTACAGTATGGGAGAAAATATTTACAAACTATGCATCTGACAAAAGTCTAACACCAAAATCTATAAGGTACTTAAACAAATCAACAAGCAAAAAATAAACAGCCCCATTAAAAAATGGAAAAAAGACATAAACAGAGAATTCTCAAAAGACAACATACATGCAGCCAACAAGCACATGAAAAAATGCTCAACATCACTAATCATTAGAAAAATGCAAATCAAAACCCCACTGAGATACCATTTCACACCAGTCAGAATGGCAATTATCTAAAAGAGAAAATTACAGGTGCTGGCAAGGTTGTTTAGGAAAGAGAATGCTTATACGCTGCTGGCTGGGAATGTAAATTAGTTCAAAAAAAGCAGTTTGAATATTTCTCAAAGAATTTACAACTACTGTTCGACCCAGGCTTCACATTACCAGGCATACATTCAAAGGAATGTTAAGCATTCTACCAAAGAGACACATGCACTCACATGTTCATTGTTGTACTATCCACAATAGCAGAGACATGGAATCAACCTAGATGCCCATCAATAGTGGACTGGATTTTTTAAATGTGGTACATATACACATGAAATACTATATAGCCATTTAAAAAATGGAATCCTGTTCTTTGCAGAAACATGGATGCAGCTGGAGGCCATTATCCTAAGCAAATTAACACGGGAACAGAAAACCAAATAGCACATGTTCTCACTTATAAGTGGGAGCTAAACATTGAGTACACATGGACACAAAGATGGAAACAATAGACACCAGAGCCTACTTGAGATGGGAGGAGGGTGGGAGGAAGAGAAAGATTGAAAAACTACCTATCAGGCACCATGCTCACTGCTTGAGGCATGAAATCATTTGTACACCAAACCCCAGCATAATGCAATTTACCCATGTAACAAACGTGTACATGTACCCACTGAACCTAAAATAAAAGCTGAAGAAAAAAAAAAGAGACATGGAGAGAAAATGAAGTAACTTGCCCAAGTGAATATATAGTAGAGCTCACATAGGAACTCAGGTGTATTTGACCTTCAAAAATTATGAAACTTGATACTTGAGTAGGACTCTTCTTTTTGTTGAAGAATTTTGCCAATGACTCAATATTGAAGGTAAAAATAAATATATTCTAAAGAAGAGCTGCCAGCCGGGCACAGTGGCCCACGCCTGTAATCTCAGCACTTTGGGAGGCTGAGGTGGGCAGATCACCTGAGGTCAGGAGTTCGAGACCAGCCTGACGAACACGGAGAAACCCATCTCTACTAAAAATACAAAAATTAGCCCAGCATGGTGGCGCATGCCTGTAATCCCAGATACTCAGGAGGCTGAGGCAGGAGAATCGCTTGAACCTGGGAGGCAGAGGTTGTGGTGAGCTGAGATTGTGCCATTGCACTCCAGCCTGGGCAACAAGAGTGAAACTCCATCTCAAAAAAAAAAAAAATGCCAAACATATTTCCACAGCACTAACACAATTCTGAGATGATGAGAGATCATCATCTCATCATCTACCTTCAGCAGATAGAAGGCTAAACACTGAAAAATAGTTACTGCAGGACAAGAGCTGAGAGAGGGCAAGGAACAATGGACAGATACACAGTTAATCTCAGCTGGCATGTGCATCACCAATGTAAGGGAGTTCTGATCTGTGAGAACCCAGACAAGTGTCTCAAAGAACCAGCACTTGGATACCTACCTGCAACAGAGGGCTTCTTTGGGCCAGGTATCAGTCAAGAGAGGACCTTAATTATAGGACTAGATAAGTAAAGATTTTTATCCCTTGCATCTGATTTCCTCTGCTCTGTAAGTACTAAAATGGGAGGCAGAAGAAATACAGAAAAATTGAAGACTAGATTATATCCTCTTCGCCTGTGGGTCCCAGTTGTGAGTACGGCCCGCAATTGGAAGAGAGAAAAGAGGCTATGAATTGGATGTGAGACTCAAGCTTTCAGCATTTGGTAGGAATTTTAATACTTGAAATCATGTCTTAGTTACCAATGGGATACTATTCTTACAACAAAAAGGGTGAAAACTCTAGGATTTGCCCAAGGACAAGAGAGAACAGAGCATGTTAAAAGATAATAGTTAAGGTGGGGTGTGCGGATGTGTCCAATGTTCCCCCTCCACAAGTACATTTAAAAATCTGAAGCAATATTCAACAAAATGATACTAGAGTAAAAGGGAGCCATCTCAAGGGGTACTAAAGTTTAAAAAAAAATGCAAGACAGTATAATTTTTTTTAAAGTATTCACGAGAAACAATAATGTTTACCTATAAAGCATGTGGCTTGTCATCAGTGAGAAAGGAGGAATTACTTTTCATTTTATAACCTTTCCACAGTTTCAATTTTTACCATATATATGTTATAGTTAAAATATCAATTAAAAATGATTCCATTTATTTCTGGATATAATATGAAGCAACCTTTTGAAAATTTTTTAAAAATTAATTTTAGCCAAGCCTCCAGTTGTTTTGTCTATTCACTTACAAAGAATCAGGAAAAATGTATTATCATTTTTACAAAAATAATTGTATATTCTTCCTTGTACTATATCAGTCAGTAGTTTAAGGGGAAATAAACCACTTTGGACACTTTCATTAAAGTTCCCCTCACCTTGGGTTGTGTCTGGTATTTTTCTTAGTCCATTTGGGCTGCTATAACAAAACACCTTAGACTGAGTAACTTGTGAATGACAGACATTTTTCACAGTTCTTGAGGCTGGGAAGTCCAAGATCAAGGCAGCAGCGTATGTTTGGTGAGGGCCTGCTTCCTCAAAGAGGGCATGTTTTCACTGCGTCTTCACATGGTGGAAGGTGTTCTCTCAGGCCTCTTTTATAAGGACACTAATCCCATTCATGAAGCTTCCAGCCTCATGACCTAAATAACCCTACCGCCCTGGGGGTTAGATTTCAACATATGAATTTTGAGGAAACACAAACATTCAGACAAAAGCAGTATTTCTAACTCTAGCATAGCTGCCATTGGCCAGGGTTCTGAAGCAGCCAGAGCTGAGTGTTTTCACTTTGTGCCACAGCCATGCTTGTGATGAAAGCTGCAGGAAGCAACTGATTGGTGCATGCCCTTAAAGATCGCATTTGTTGATGAGGGAGTTCCAGAGTGATGCCAGCCCTGTCACTGAAATTTACCACACAGAACCTCAAAATCCAATTATCACTCATTTTCTCCACCTTCTTATCACTTGTATTTCACAGCTGTTCGGTGACAATGAAAGTAAAGTTTTCCATCTCAGGTATTATGCTGCTGGGACAGATTAACTTCTGGAAAGATTTAATTATCTTTGAGAGGACAGCTCCTCTAATAACATTCCTTCTTCTATCTGGTCCAAACTAGTATTTGCTTCAATGATTCTCATCCTGAGACCTAGCTCCCCTGTCACCATACACTGAGTGGGCTTTGTCAAAAAACCAGAGGCTGAGCCTCTTTTTAAGAAACACTAATTCTGTGGCTGCCTACTTCCAGCTGTATCTTGATACATAGAAATGCACTTGAGGTTGTCCATCAGGATAAGCATTAAAATTGGGTCACAGAAAAAAAAACAGGTTATAAAAGAGCCTGTGTGGAATGAGCTCTTTAAAATGAATGTTTATGTCTAGAAAAATACATCAGTATGTGATCAGTGACTATCTGTAAGGTGGGATTACTAATTACCTTTATTTGTTTTATACTGATGCACTTTATGATTTTCTTCCAGTACACATATGTTGCATCTTTAATCACACAAAATAACAAAGCTATTTTAAACATTTAATGGTTATTATTTCAGAGTTAGGGAATTTGAAAGATGTTTAGGGAAGCCTTCAAACTTGAGAAATAGCTCTAAAAAGACCTTTTGAAACTGGCAGTCATGATACTCTACCCTTTTCCAACTCTTATTCATTTGCTGAAATGGCTTGTGTGTAATAAGCCTACTTTCTGATTTGTCTGAATTTCTAAGCAGAAAGGTATGGGGAATGATGTGGTATCAGTAATTGAATAGCATGCTAACAATGCCAGAGTTTTCGGTATCTCTGTAGACAAACTGTGTGTGTAGGGGGAAGGGAGGGTGTGTGTGTGAGAGATCTTCTCTAGATGGTCCACTGGGAAAGGGTTACAATCACAGCAAATGAAGTTCTTCAGAAGTCCTCAGCTGGAGATAGCCAGCAGTACATGCAAGATAGGGAGGAGTGTTTTTTTTCCTGCACGCACCCCAAACTGCCCCCATGTGACTGCATGCTACAGCATTCACTGATAGTTGGACATTAGGTGAGCCCAGAGCTTTCAAAGCAGACATCTCTTCTCAGCATGCTGGTGACCTGTGAAGTGGCTCAGAGAGAGATGGGTGGGGAAAAAATGGCTACTGCTGTTTCTGGCTGATCCTCTGATGCTGGCATTTGGGGCAATATGTCTGAGGTATCTGTTTTTAGCCAACATGCTAAGTATTACTGTTCTTCCATAAGACAGCAGATTTATCTTAGGGCTTATAGGGATCTAATAAATAGCATTATTCTTATTCCTTGCCTGTGTTTAATAACTAGAATGATTGAGAAGCTGAAAAGATGAAAATCAAAATGCTAGATTTATTTTTGATAGAGCTGTTGAAGAACAAGGCTTAGGTGTGGGCTACAATTGGGCTTCCTGACAATGAACCCCAAAATTAGCCCTGCACAGACATAGGCAGTACTTGTGTAACTGCAGGACTGTGTTTGTGTTGTGGGTACACTGATAAGTCTATAGCACAGAGGAGCACATCAGATTGCTTGCTCTCTGCAGGCAGGCAAACGTCATAGAGAAGAAAAGTGAGAGGAATGCCAGCCCAGACATGTGTGGCTTATTTCCTCAACTTATCAATCAGAAAACAGAAGGAGTATGTGAGAAGGGCAGGGAGAGAAGCCAAGTGTGGATAGACAATAGAAAGGGAATAAGCTGTTTACCTGGAGTATTTGGTCTTACTTGCATTCTAGTCCTCACCATCGCAACTAGCTCTATAAAGTTAGCAGAGAGGGGTCGTTAACTTTTTCTGTCTGTTTTCTCATCTTTATGATGGTGTATTGGTCCAAATTAGTAATAACGTAATTAGGGTGATCTTTTACAATCTAGTTTCTTCCAGAATTCTTTCTCAATTTCAAAATTTTATTCTATGTTTTTTTTCTTCCCTAAGGCATCACTACCAACTGTATATGTTAAGCTCCCTTGATGTTAAAACAAAAAATGTGAACAGGGTGGAATAAATGCTAAAAAAACATTTTAGAGCAACTAACTATCATTGACCCAAGGGGAAAGATAACTGAAATGCTAAATACTAAATCATTTGTAAAAGCTGATTAAACTTTCAAATAAGAGCAACATTAAGTGATGATTTATACCTTTCTCCTCCATGAATACGCAGTAGGCTAGAAGATAGTTTCCCAGTTTTTATCCACGTCATGCAATTTGCTCATATCTATTACTATAAGGGACTATTCACTTTGAAACTTGAGTCATCTGAGAGAGAATATAAATAAACAAGACCACATTAGCTGACAGAATTGGAGCTCGAGTCTGGATGTTAGCCAAGCATAGGTGATGGTGAAGTGTGGAAATTACCTAATAGCAAGGCTCAAATCTGACAGAAGAATGTATTAACACATCATAGAGCATGGCCCTCAACCCAATCAGAAATTCACTTCTTAAGCTGTTTTTGCACATATTGGAACAGACACAGGGGATAACCACAGATAAACTAAACCACTAAGTCACCACTTGCCCAAACAGGCAGAGTTAGGGAAAAGAAAATGGACAAGTTTATGACCTTCACTCATTCAACAAGAATTTTTTGAGTACCTTCTATGTGCCATGCACTGTGTTAGGAATTAGAGGTTATGGAAGTAAGACTAAGTGCTTGTTTTGAGTTTTCTCCCAAATGAGACATTTTCAAAACTGATTGAAACAAAGTGAGCTATCTATCTTTAGCAAGACAGTAAACAGTAAAGAGGGCATGATGGAGTAGAGTATCCCAAACAGAGTAATTTGTCCCACTGATGATTCATGACGAAGTTTCTCAGGCCCAGAACAAAGTGAAAAAATCAGATGTATGTGAATGTGGAGGTGGGGAGTGTGATTTGTTGGGTAAGGTTTTGAAATAATTATTGGGAAAATTATTTAGTCTAACCTTAGTCCCTCCAAACTGTGAAACAAAGTGAAAAAATTAGATGTATGTGAATGTGGAGGTGGGGAATGTGATTTGTTGGGTAAGGTTTGAAACAATTATTGGGAAAATTATTTAGTCTAACCTTAGTCCCTCCAAATTGTTTGGTATAAAAACTTCTAATAAAATGTAATATTAGTAAATAGTTGATTTTCTTTTTAATGTCCTCATTTTGCAAATTAAAAAGCTAGGAACCCTATGTTAGTCCCCAAATTGTTTTAGAAATGTTACTTGTTCTTAATTACTGAAGGTTTGGGAATTCTACTAGAAAAAATAAAGAAGGTATGGAGATTGAGTTCGCAGATTTTCTATGCCCTTGAATGAAAAGGGGAGTTGATAAACCTCAAATTAGTAGATATTGACATAGTAAGGAAGAGCAGGTTGACATATAGTAAGTGCAAAATCATTGAGTCAGCTCTCCTTATTGTGTGGATTGATTCTAAAGCCTGGGTCTAGATTTGTCTGTGATCACAGGCTCGTTGGGATGCAAAACATTTTTCTTCGGGAACTCTGAATACCCTGTTCAAGAGTGGCCAGTTTTTATTATCTGGTTTTCACCCATTTTGGGGATAAAACTGAACGAGGAGGAAGCTGGCAAACTTCTCAGTAGGAAATACACAAACCTTGCTCTTAAGAGAACAAATCCTACTTTTGCTATTTCTGTATGAGACAAAACAAATGAGTAAATTGTAACAAGCCAGATATGGAATACAAACAGCAGGAGTCTAGAGCTCATATTTGAAAGGTAACTTATGGATCAGATACATTCCCCAAAATTCCTATGTTGAAACCCTAATCGTCATGTGGTGGTATTTGGAGGCAGGGCCATTGGGAGGTCGATATTGTTAGATATCATAAGGTAGAGCTCCCTTGATGGAATTAACACCCTTATGAAAAGGAGACACAAGATCCCCTTTGTCTATGTGCACTTACTAAGGAAAGGTCAAGTCAGGATATAACCAGGAAGAGGGCCCTCCCTAAGAACCTGACCATGTGGCACCCTGACATCAGACTTCCAGCCTTCAGAATCATGAGAAATAAATGTTTGTCAGTCTATGGTAATTTTTATAGCAGCCCAAACTAAGACAGAAATTGGTACTGACAGGTAGGGTGCTGCTATAACAAACACCTAAAAATGTGCAAGCGGTTTTGGAACTGGGAAATGAGTAGAGGCTGGATGAATTTGGAGGTACATGCTGGAAAAAGTCAATATTGCCATGAAGGAAGTTTTAAAGGCTGTTCTTGTGAAGGCTTGGAAAGAAAACACAGCTGGAAATAAAAGTCTCTATTTTCTTTGAGAATATATAAATACTCATGAATAAAATATTGGTAGAAATATGGATAGTCAAAGCCATTCTCAGACAAAAATAAGCAACATGTTATTGGAAACTGAAGGAATGGTGATCCTTTTTTATAAAGTAGCAAAGAAGTTGGCTGAATTGTTCATGTTCTAATGTTTTGTGAAAGGTGAAATTTGGGAATAATGAAATTTTATAATTAGCTGAGGAGATTTCTAAGCAAAGTGTTTAAGTGGTGGCTTAGTTCCTCCTAACAGCTTATTGTTAAATGAAAGAAGCCAAATGAATTGAAGATGGAATTGATCTTCGAATATTTGTTTGGGGAGAGGGGGGTAGAGGGATAAGGAATTGTTAAGCAAAAAGAAACCAGAACTTAAAGACTTGGAAAATTCTCAGCCTATCTGTATTTTAAAAAATGAGAACACATGTTCGGAAAAGAACTCTAAGAGTGTGGGCTTCGTGATCATTTAATAAGCAGATTACTGCATGTGTGAACCACTATCCTAATCAGCCACTCAGCAGAAACACTGCCAGTTTTAACTGAAGGGGAAGGAGATAGGACAGAATGAAGAAAGACTGTCAAATGCCTTAATTTTATAAGACAGAACTATGGAATACTATGGCCACAAACGTGCAGTGTTTGAAAATAAGATAAGATTTATACTGAAGATAATTCAGAGATAATCAGGACTGCCTCCACAGTTTCAAAGTAGTGGGACCATCTCCTCAGTTTCAACATGTCAGACAGCCCCACGGTTTGGGGTGACAAAGCTATTGGGGCACAGCTACCAGAAGCCTTGGGGTCATGACCCCTACCTGGCAGAGCTCTGGGAATAGGATCTCCAACTGGCATAGCTCTGAAAAGGCAATGCTGACCTGGTATAGCTTTGAAGGCAGGATCTCCATCCCAGTGTGTTCAGAAGAAGGGACCTCTACCCTGTTAAAATTTTTTCATAACATTTGTTAGAGACAATATGGAAGACTTTATTCAAAAAGGACTACTGCAATGGGGGCTTTTCAGTAGGGGAGAGAGATCAGGTTCAACTCTGAAAACAACAAGGACAAGTGAAAATGTATAGCTAAGGAGTAGGTTTAGGGTGGGGGTCAGTGGATTACTAAGAGAAAACATTAAGGCTATGGGGGATTCTGGCTAAACTGCTTGACAGGTTTCTTGCTGAAGGCAGACCAGAGTGATAAGATATCAAGAATGAGGACTTTTCACTGAACTGACTCATCAGAATTCTTGCTGAAACTCAACTAACAGGCCCAGGGACAGAGCCCAAGGTCAAGACCAGATCAAAAAGAGTAGGAGCCTGTCTCAAGTTTGATCAAGGAGAGACTCTGTCAGACCTCCCTCTCATTCAAGGAAAAAAGAGATAGTCTTCTTTTCTTTGAACAATGTTAAGTCCATTTCTCATTCAGACACTTTTGTTTATTAAGGACCAGTGGAACTCTGTGTTAAGACTTAGTAGTAGAGAAGCCAGTCAAGAAGATTTATACACATTGGGCTTAAAGTATCTTTAGAAAATAGAGTGAAGATTGCAGAGGCCATCCCACAGATTTCCTAGTTGGCAGTTTGAATACTTTACTGATGGCATAGACATCAGTGTCATGGATTTTTTTTTGGAGAAGAGCATGAAAGTGTTCAGTTTTAGCTCACAGGGCTTCTTTAGATAGTCCAAATAAGGATCAGGGCAATCAGGTTTTAGTTCTCAATGGTGCCATGTCAGAAAAGTTGGAGAAAAATTGGAAGCATTAGAGAGTTGCAGCCAGATATTGGAGCAAACCAAAAGAATTGATCCTGTCCAGGTTAGAAATAGAAAAAAAAAAAAAGTACATCAAGAGGTGAGAAATAGCCCAAAGGCAATGAATACCCACAAGGATGGATAATAGTTTTCCACTAAAAGATAAAATATCTTTCCACAGTCATCCCCATTTTGATTAAAGTTAATCAAAATAAGACTACTTTTCTTCATAAAATAAGTCTGATCTCATTAAATTTAGCCTGATTACGTAAGAGCAGCAATAATAGAGATTGACTGCATAGGACCATTTTTAAATCAGATTTGCTGGAATGTTTAATAAGGAATCTCAGATTAGACTTTCAAAAAAGCCTCTCAAGGCTGGGAAATCTAGCCAAGAACTTGCCATTAGACTGTGCCTGCCGTAACTAGATTTGAGTGAATTCATATTTTCTTGAGGTCTCCAAAATATCCTATGTTTCCTAGGCCAACCAGGAAATGACTAACCAGGAAATTACTCAACTGTAAGATTGAGGACCTTATAATCCAAGTATCAGAACAGCTTTTCCAAGAGGGCTGTATAAGCATTCATTGCTTAAGTGCTTAAGTCATCCTCAGTTTATTTAAACGGTCTGATCATAACTGATTCCAGGTACATCATACTCAAATATGACATTTCAGTCAAAACCTGGATAATATAACAAATGTTTCCAATTATGTTCTGTTACAAGAATAACATATTCTTATTAAACTTATGCAAATAACTACATTACCATAAAGAATATTCAGAATTATAGAGGGATCAGGTAGAGAGAGAAATAAATGTTTCATTTTTATTTACAAAGGTATAAAATCTAAATTGTTGAGAGTTAGAGACTGCTTAATGGAAAAGAAAAAGAGGTTCCTTATATATGGACTACAGAACTTTAAAGGACCAGTAAGTTTTCAGCACAAAGTAATAAAAAAACACCACATGGAAGGGAAATAATCAGCCCGCTCTAGCCATTCTGTCCCACCTAAGGCAGGCATGGTCTGAGAAGCACTCATGAAATTCAGTCTAGAAGCAAATGATCACCAAAGACTGAGACCTAATCATAAGATCACAGAATGCTTCTCCTCTTCCCACACCTTACCACCATATTAATAAGGCCTAGCCTATCTACAGCAGTTTCTTTTATCCATTACATGGTGTCTGGCTACAAAGAAAAGTTTACTAAACAAACTAAGAGCTAAAAAACGAAGTTGAAGAGACAGAGCAAGCATCAGAATCAGTCATGGCAGAGATGTAGGAACTAGCATACCAGGAATTTGAAATAACTCATTAATATGCTAAAAAGCCCAAAGGATAAAGTGGACAGCATGCAAAAACAGATTGGCAGTATAATAAGAAGACAGAAATCATAGGAAAACAACTTTAAAATGCTAAAGATCAAAGAAAAAAATTAAGAATGCCTTTGATGGTGCTATAGTTTGAATGTGTCCCCCCAAAGTTTATATGTTAGAAACTTGATCCCTAATGTAGAGGTGTGGGAGATGGGGCCTAGTGAGGGGTAAGAGCTCTGCCCTCATGAATGGATTAATGTCATTATTGTGGAAGTGGGTTCATTATCACAGGACTGGGTTCTTATAAAAAGATGAGTTTGGCCCTCTTGTTCACTTTCTCTCACCCTCTCTTTGCCCTTCTACGATGGGATGACACACAAAGCAGGCTTTGAAAGATGCCAGCCCCTCAGTCTTGGGCTTCCCAGCCTCCAGAACCATGAGCCAATAGGTTTTTGTTCATTATAAATTACCTTGTCTGTGGTATTCTGTTATAGCAGCAAAAATGGACTAATACCAAAAATTGGTACCAAGAATTGGAGTTGTTGCTATAACAAATACATGAAAATGTGGAAGTGGCTTTGAAACTGGGTAATGAGTAGAGGCTGGAACACTTTTCAAGGAAATGCTGGGAAAAGCCTATATTTTCATAAAAGGAGCATTAAAGGTGATTCTGGTGAGGGTTCAGAAAAAAGGAAGAGCTGTAGGGAAAACATTTAAGTTCCTAGAGATTACTTTCAAGTGGTCATGATTAGAATGTTGGTAGATATATAAACAGTAAAGGCCATTCTGATGAGGTCTCAGATAACAATGAGGGATATCTTCTTGGAAACTGGAGTAAAGCCTATTCTAGTTATAAGGTGGCAAAGAACTTGGCTGGATCATGTTCATGTCCCAGGGCTTTGTGGAAGGCAGAGTTTAAGATCACTGAACTAGGATATCTGGCAAAAGAAACTCTATGTAAAATTTGAAGGAGCTCTGTGGCTTCTTTTAACTGCCTAGAGTAAAATAAAAGAGAAGAGAAATGATTTAAAGGTGGAATTTATAATTAAAAGGAAAGCAAACAGATTTTTAAGATTTGCAGCCTTGTCACATAAAGAACAACATAACTTACAAGGATCCAGACAAGTGATGCTTGATAAAGGGATCAGTATGGCTAGAAAAAATCCAAGTGGCATTCATCTAGATAATGGCAGAATGGCCCTAAAGACATTTGGAAATATTTGAGGCTGCCCTTCCCATCACAGGTCCAGAGCTTTGGAAGGCAGAATGGTTTTGAGCAACAGGCCAGAGGCATCCTCCACAGGCTTGCTTCCCCGGGATGCCTCAAGTCTCTGCTCCCACATTGCAGCACAATACTCTTCAGATGCTCCAGTTGGGCTCAAGCAGGCCTGGGTGCAACTCAGACCTCTGCTCCATAAAGCACAAGCAGTAAACCTTGATGGTATTCATGTGGTGCCAATTTTTTAGGCTTGCAGAATATACAGGGTGTGGGGCCATGGCAGCATTCACCTAGACTTCAAAGAGTGTATCAGACAGCCTGGTGGCCCAGGTAGAAACTTGTTACAGAGGTGGAGCTACCACCGTGATCCCCAAGTAGGGTAATGCCCAGTGGAACTGTGGAGTCAGAGCTGCCACAGAGAACCCAGAACTGTAGAGTTACCAGCATATAGCACAGCCTAGGAGAGGTGCAGGCAAAAGACTCCAATCCATGAGAGCTCCTACATGGGCTGGACTCAGCAAAGCCATGAGGCAGGGCTGCCTGAGGCCTTGGTAGCCCAAGCCCTACCCTCATGTATCTGGAAGGTGGGACATGGAGTCTAAGATGATTATTTCCAAGCCTCAGGATTTAGTTTTGTTTGCCTGGTTGGGTTTCGAACTTACTTGAGACTAGTTACCCCTCCCCACGTTTTTTTAACCTATTTCTCACTTTTAGAATGGGAACATTTATCTTATGGCTGTCCTACCGCTGTATTTTGGAAGTAGATAACTTGTTTTTCTTTCACAGGGCCACAGATGGAGGAAAATTTGCCTCATGATGAGTCATGTCTCAAGTATCACTCATACCTGATTTAGATGAGGCTTTGGACTTGGACTTTTGAGTTGATGCTAGACTAAGGTAAGACTCTGAGGCTACTGGGATGGAGTAAATGTATTTTGCATGTGAGAGGCACATAAATTTGGGGGTCCATGGGTGGCATGCTATGATTCAAATGTATCCCCCAAACTTTATGTGTTGGAACTTGATCACTAATGTGGAGGTTTTAGGAAGTGGGCCCTGATGGGAGGTGTCTGGGTAATGAGGGTTCTGCCCTCACGAATGGATTAATGCCATTATTGTGAGTGCATTTATTATGACAGGAGGTTTCCTTATTTAAAAAAAGACTTTATCCCCCTCTTTCTCTCTTTCTCACCCTATCTTTGCTCTTCTACCATGGCACAACACAGTGAGAAGTTTCTAGCTAGATGCCAGCCCCTCAGGTTTGGACTTTCCAGCCTCCAGAACTATAAGCCAATAAATTTCTGTTCATTATAAATTACCCTATCTGTGGTTCTATTAGTCCATTCTCACACTGCTATTAATATAAAGAACTACCCGAGACTGGCTAATTTATAAATGAAAAAGTTTGACTCACATTTCTGCATGGCTGGGGAGGTCTCAGGAAACTTACAATAATGGCAAAGGGGACATAAACATGTCCTTCACATGGCAGTAGGAGAGAGAAGTCCAGAACTAAGTAGGGTAAAGTCCCTTATAAAATCATCAGATCTTGTGAGAACTCACTCACTGTCATGAGAACAGCATAGGGCAACTGATCCCATGATTCAATTACTCCCACAAGTTTCCTCCCAGGACACATGGGGATTATGGGAACTACAATTTAAGGTGAGATTTGGGTGAGGACACAGCCAAACCATATCAGTGGCATTCTGTTATAATAGCAAAACCAGACTAAGACAGATGGGCTTAGTATACTGGACACAGCTCAAGGAAGAATCTCTAAAATTGAGAATATAGCAACAGAAAACTCCAAAACTGAAAAGCAAAGAGAAAGAAGAAAAAAAGGAAAGAAAAAAACAGAATATCCAAGAACTGTGGGATAACTACAAGAAAGAAAGGAACAGGAGAAATACTTGAAACCATAATGACTGGACATTTCCCCCAAGTTAATGCCAGACACTAAACCACAGATTTGAGAAGCTCAGAGTAAATCAAACAGGATAAATGACCAAAAAAACACAAAACATAAACAAAACAAGAAAACTCTATACCTATCAAACTATAGAAAAGCAAAGATACAGAAAACAATCCCAAAAGAAGCCACAGAGAAAAAGCATCTTACCTACAGAGGACCAATGATCACAATTATATCTGACTTCTCAGAAATCATGCAGGCAAAAAGAGTGATTTAAAATGTTGATAGAAAAAAAATCAACTGGGTGGAGCAAAGATGGCCAAATAGGAACAGCTCTAGTCTACAGCTCCCAGCGTGAGCAATGCAGAAGACGGGTGATTTCTGCATTTCCAACTGAAGTACCAGGTTCATCTCACTGGGGAGTGTCAGAAAGTGGGTGCTGGAGAGTGGGTACACTGCAAAGAGTGTGAGCTGAAGCAGGGTGAGGCATTGCCTCACCCAGGAAGCTCAAGGGATCAGGGAATTCCCTTTCCTAGTCAAAGAAAGGGATGACAGATGGCACCTGGAAAATCGGGTCACTCCCACCCTAATACTGCACTTTTCCAATGGTCTTAGCAAATGGCACACCAGGAGATTATATCCCGCACATGGCTCAGAGGGTCCTACGCCCACAGAGCCTCACTCATTGCTAGCACAGCAGTCTGAGATCAAACTGCAAGGCAGCAGCGAGGCTGGAGGAGGGGTGCCCGCCATTGCCGAGGCTTGAGTAGGTAAACAAAGTGGCCCAGAAGCTCAAACTGGGTGGAGCCCACCGCAGCTCAAGGAGGCCTGCCTGCCTCTGTAGATTCCACCTCTGGGGGCAGGGCATAGCCAAACAAAAGGCAGCAGAAACCTCTCCAGACTTAAATGTCCCTGTCTGACAGTTTGAAGAGAGTAGTGGTTCTCCCAGCACGCAGCTTGTTATCAGAGAACGGACAGACTGCCTCCTCAAGTGGGTCCCTGACCCCCGAGTAGCCTAACTTGGAGGCACCCCCCAGTAGGGGCAGACTGACACCTCACACAGCCAGGTACTCCTCTGAGACAAAACTTCCAGAGGAACAATCAGGCAGCAACATTTGCTGTTCACCAATATCCACTGTTCTGCAGCCTCCACTGCTGATACCCAGGCAAACAGGGTCTGGAGTGGACCTCCAGCAAACTCCAACAGACATGCAGCTGAGGGTCCTGACTGTTAGAAGGAAAACTAACAAACAGAAAGGACATCCACACCAAAACCCCATCTGTACGTTACTATCATCAAAGACCAAAGGTAGATAAAACCACAAAGATGGGAAAAAAACAGAGCAGAAAAACTGGAAACTCTAAAAATCAGAGTGCCTCTCCTCCTCCAAAGGAACGCAGCTCCTCACCAGCAACGGAACAAAGCTGGACAGAGAATGACTTTGATGAGTCGAGATAAGAAGGCTTCAGAAGATCAAACTACTCCGAGCTAAAGGAGGAAGTTTGAACCCATGACAAAGAAGTTAAAAACTTTGAAAAAAAAATTAGATGAATGGCTAACTAGAATAACCAATGCAGAGAAGTCCTTAAAGGACCTGATAGAGCTGAAAACCATGGCACGAGAACTATGTGATGAATACACAAGCCTCAGTAGCCAATTCAGTCAACTGGAAGAAAGGGTATCAGTGATGGAAGATCAAATGAATGAAATGAAGCGAGAAGAGAAGTTTAGAGAGAAAAGAACAAAAAGAAATGAACAAAGCCTCCAAGAAATATGGGACTATGTGAAAAGACCAAATCTACGTCTGATTGGTGTACCTGAAAGTGACAGGGAGAATGGAATCAAGTTGGAAAACACTCTGCAGGATATTATCCAGGAGAACTTCCCCAATCTAGCAAGGCAGGCCAATATTCAAATTCAGGAAATACAGAGAATACCACAAAGATACTCCTCCAGAAGAGCAACTCCAAGACACATAATTGTCAGATTCACCAAAGTTGAAATGAAGGAAAAAATGTTAAGGGCAGCCAGAGAGAAAGGTCGGGTTACCCACAAAGGGAAGCCCATCAGACTAACAGCTGATCTCTCAGCAGAAACTCTACAAGCCAGAAGACAGTGGGGGCCAATATTCAACATTCTTAAAGAAAAGAATTTTCGACCCAGAATTTCATATCCAGCCAAACTAAGCTTCATAAGTGAAGGAGAAATAAAATCCTTTACAGACAAGCAAATGTTGAGAGATTTTGTCACCACCAGGCCTGCCCCAAAAGAGCTCCTGAAGGAAGCACTGAACATGGAAAGGAAAAACCGGTACCAGCCACTGCAAAATCATGCCAAATTGTAAAGACCATCAAGGCTAGGAAGAAACTGCATCAACTAAA
Source organism: Homo sapiens (assembly GCF_000001405.40). NCBI lineage: Eukaryota > Metazoa > Chordata > Mammalia > Primates > Hominidae > Homo > Homo sapiens. The sequence continues at coordinate 62,203,172 of NC_000014.9, read as the reverse complement.
GAGCAAAATAACCAGCTAACATCATAATGACAGGATCAACTTCACACATAATAATATTAACCTTAAATGTAAATGGGCTAAATGCTCCAATTAAAAGACACAAACTGGCAAATTGGATAAAGAGTCAAGAGCCATCAGTGTGCTATATTCAGGAAACCCATCTCACATGCAGAGACACACATAGGCTCAAAATAAAGGGATGGAGGAAGATCTACCAAGCAAATGGAAAACAAAAAAAGGCAGGGGATGCAATCCTAGTCTCTGATAAAACAGACTTTAAACCAACAAACATCCAAAGAGACAAAGAAGGCCATTACATAATGGTAAAGGGATCAATTCAACAAGAAGAGCTAACTATCCTAAATATATATGCACCCAATACAGGAACACCCAGATTCATAAAGCAAGTCCTTAGAGATCTAAAAAGAAACCTAGACTCCCACACAATAATAGTGGTAGACTTTAACACCCCACTGTCAACATTAGACAGATCAATGACACAGAAAGTTAACAAGGATATCCAGGAACTGAACTCAGCTCTGCACCAAGCGGACCTAATAGACATCTACAGAACTCTCCACCCCAAATCAACAGAATATACATTCTTTTCAGCACCACACCACACCTATTCCAAAACTGACCACATACTTGGAAGTAAAGCACTCCTCAGCAAATGTAAAAGAACAAAAATTATAACAAACTGTCTCTCATACCACAGTGCAATCAAACTAGAACTCAGAATTAACAAACTCACGCAAAACTGCTCAACTACATGGAAACTGAACAACCTGCTCCTGAATGACTACTGGGTACATAACGAAATGAAGGCAGAAATAAAGATGTTCTTTGAAACCAACGAGAACAAAGACACAACATACCAGAATCTCTGGGACACATTCAAAGCAGTGTGTAGAGGGAAATTTACAGCACTAAATGCCCACAAGAGAAAGCAGGAAAGATCTAAAATTGACACCCTAACATCACAATTAAAAGAACTAGAGAAGCAAGAGCAAACACATTCAAAAGCTAGCAGAAGGCAAGAAATAACTAAGATCAGAGCAGAATTGAAGGAAATAGAGACACAAAAAACCCTTCAAAAATTAATGAATCCAGGAGCTGGTTTTTTGAAAAGATCAACAAAATTGATAGACCGCTAGCAAGACTAATAAAGAAGAAAAGAGGGAAGAATCAAATAGACGCAATAAAAAATGATAAAGGGGATATCACCTCCCCCACAGAAATACAAACAACCATCAGAGAATACACAAATAAACTAGAAAATCTAGAAGAAATGGATAAATTCCTCGACACATACACCCTCCCAAGACTAAACCAGGAAGAAGTTGAATCTCTGAATAGACCAGTAACAGGCTCTGAAATTGAGGCAATAATTAATAGCTTACCAACCAAAAAAAGTCCAGGACCCGATGGATTCACAGCCAAATTCTACCAGAGGTACACGGGGGAGCTGATACCATTCCTTCTGAAACTATTCCAATCAATAGAAAAAGAGGGAATCCTCCCTAACTCATTTTATGAGGCCAGCATCATCCTGATACCAAAGCCTGGCAGAGACACACACACAAAAAAGAGAATTTTAGACCAATATCCCTGATGGACATCGATGCAAAAATCCTCAATAAAATACTGGCAAACCGAATCGAGCAGAACATCAAAAAGCTTATCCACCATGATCAAGTGGGCTTCATCCCTGGGATGCAAGGCTGGTTCAACATACACAAATCAATAAATGTAATCCAGCATATAAACAGAACCAAAGACAAAAACCATATGATTATCTCAAAAGATGCAGAAAAGGCTTTGACAAAATTCAACAACACTTCATGCTAAAAACTCTCAATAAATTAGGTATTGATGTAACGTATCTCAAAATAATAAGAGCTATCTATGACAAACCCACAGCCAATATCATACTGAATGGGCAAAAACTGGAAGCATTCCCTTTGAAAACTGGCACAAGACAGGGATGCCCTCTCTCACCACTCCTATTCAACATACTGTTGGAGGTTCTGGCCAGGGCAATCAGGCAGGAGAAGGAAATAAAGGGTATTCAATTAGGAAAAGAGGAAGTTAAATTGTCCTTCTTTGCAGATGACATGATTGTATATCTAGAAAACCCCATCGTCTCAGCCCAAAACCTCCTTAAGCTGATAGGCAACTTCAGCAAAGTCTCAGTATACAAAATCAATGTGCAAAAATCACAAGCATTCTTACACACCAATAACAGACAAAAAGAGAGCCAAATCATGAGTGAACTCCCATTCACAATTGCTTCAAAGAGAATAAAATACCTAGGAATCCAACCTACAAGGGACATGAAGGACCTCTTCAAGGAGAACTACAAACCACTGCTCAATGAAATAAAAGAGGATACAAACAAATGGAAGAACATTCCATGCTCATGGGTAGGAAGAATCAATATCGTGAAAATGGCCATACCGCCCAAGGTAATTTATAGATTCAATGCCACCCCCATCAAGCTACCAATGACTTTCTTCACAGAATTGGAAAAAACTACTTGAAAGTTCATATGGAACCAAAAAAAAGCCCGCATCGCCAAGGCAATCCTAAACCAAAAGAACAAAGCTGGAGGCATCATGCTACCTGACTTCAAACTCTACTACAAGCCTACAGTAACCAAAACAGCATGGTGCTGGTACCAAAACAGAGATACAGACCAATGGAATAGAACAGAGCCCTCAGAAATAATGCCGCATATCTACAACTATCTGAACTTGACAAAACTGACAAAAACAAGAAATGGGGAAAGGATTCCCTATTTAATAAATGGTGCTGGCTATTCCATTTAATAAATGGAAAACTGGCTAGCCATATGTAGAAAGCTGAAACTGGATTGCTTCCTTACACCTTATACTAAAATTAATTCAAGATGGATTAAAGATTTAAATGTTAGACCTAAAACCATAAAAACCCTAGAAGAAAACCGAGGCAATACCATTCAGGACATAGACATGGGCAATGACTTCATGTCTAAAACACCAAAAGCAATGGCAACAGAAGCCAAAATTGACAAATGGGATCTAATTAAACTAAAGAGCTTCTGCACAGCAAAAGAAACTACCATCAGAGTGAACAGGCAACCTACAGAATGGGAGAAAATTTTTGCAATCTACTCATCTGACAAAGGGCTAATATCCAGAATCTACAATGAACTCAAACAAATTTACAAGAAAAACACAAACAACCCCATCAACAAGTGGGCAAAGGATATGAACAGACACTTCTCAAAAGAAGACATTTATGCAGCCAAAAGACACATGAAAAAATGCTCATCATCACTGGCCATCAGAGAAATGCAAATCGTAACCACAATGAGATACCATCTCACACCAGTTAGAATGACAATCATTAAAAAGTCAGGAAACAACAGGTGCTGGAGAGGATGTGGAGAAATAGGACACTTTTAAACTGTTGGTGGGACTGTAAACTAGTTCAACCATTGTGGAAGTCAGTGTGGCGATTCCTCAGGGATCTAGAACTAGAAATACCATTTGACCCAGCCATCCCATTACTGGGTATATACCCAAAGGATTATAAATCATGCTGCTATAAAGACACATGCACACATATGTTTATTGCGGCACTATTCACAGTAGCAAAGACTTGGAACCAACCCAAATGTCCAACAATGATAGACTAGATTAAGAAAATGTGGCACATATACACCATGGAGTACTATGCAGCCATAAATAAGGATGAGTTCATGTCCTTTGTAGGGACATGGATGAAGCTGGAAACCATCATTCTCAGCAAACTATCGCAAAGACAAAAAACCAAACACTGCATGTTGTCACTCATAGGTGGGAATTGAACAATGAGAACACATGGATACAGGAAAAGGAACATCACACACTGGAGCCTGTTGTGGGGTGGGGGGAGGGGGGAGGGATAGCATTAGGAGATATACCTAATGTTAAATGATGAGTTATTGGGTGCAGCACACCAATATGGCACATGTATACATATGCAACAAACCTGCACGTTGTGCACACATACCCTAAAACTTAAAGTATAATTAAAAAAAAGAAAACAGATTATACTTTGAAGATATCGTAGGCATTATGAAAAAGTTTAAAAACCCACACTTCATGGGGTTTAGGAGAACAGAGGGCAATTTGCCAATACCTATGAAAATTACTAATATATTTTCTCTTTGACCTAGAAATTCCTCATCTTGGAATATAGAGATACCTGCACATGTGTGAAATGGAATATGTGCAAAAACTTTATTTAGTATAACTTAACAACACAATATGAGAAACAACCTAAATATCTATCAAAAAAGCAACTCTTTAAATATATTACAGTGCATCTGTATAATGGAATATCTTACAGCCATTAAAGAAAAATAAGCAATGTGCAGAAAAATTAAGGTGTAATTAAGATGTAAAATATGTGTTTCCATTTACAAAAAAAGAGAGGAAAAAGGATAACTATGTGTGAGGGCTTATTTCTACATGCATAAGGTATCTCTGTCAATACACAGAGGAAACTGTATCTTGCCTTTCTGCCTAGAGGAAACTGTATCTTGCCTTTCTGCCTGGAGAAAACTGAGTGGGATAGATGTGGGAGGAAGACTTTTCTCTAGTTTTGAATTTTGAGCCATGTGACTATATTGCCTAAACAAAATAAATAAATGCATTTTTGAAACACACACACACAAAAAATCAACCTAGAATTCTGTACATCCTGTGAAATTATCCCTCAAAAGTGAAGGAGAAAAAGATTTTCTCAAACAAAAATTGAGAGAACTTGTTGCCAGTGGATCTGCCTTGCAAGAAATGTTAAAAGAAGTTCTTTAAAGAAAGTAATATAGGTCAAAAACTGAGCTCTACATAAAGGAAGCACGTGGAAGAAGAAATAAGATAAAATAAAAACTTTTATTTTCCTTATCCTTAATTAATCTAATGGATAAATTTGTTCAAGGTAATAATAGCCACAATATATCTGATTATATATGTTTATTTTTTATGTATATCTATGCTATGTATACATATATAAGTGAAATGAATGACAGGAATGATACAAGGGACAAGTGAGAGAAATTGGAATTTTGTTATTATAAGCTATCACTTCCCTTGAAGTAGTACAGTGTTATTTGAAACTGGACTTGGATTAGTTGTACATGTATATTCCAAACGATATAACCACTCAAAAAAGGTAAAATATATATATATTATATTATATATTATATATATTACATTATATATATTATATTATATATTATATATATATTACATTATATTATATTATATATTTTATATATATATTACATTATATATATTATATTATATATTATATATTACATTATATATATTATATTATATATTATATATTACATTATATTTATTATATTATATATTATATATACATTACATTCTATATATTATATTATACTATATATTATATATATTATATATTATAATATATTATATAATATATATAAAAGGTAAAGTGTATATATATAGCAAGCTAAATAAAATTGAATTACACAAACTGCTCAGTTAGAACCACAAAATGCAAAAAAAAAATGTGGAACATAAAAATAGGAACAAAGAAAAGGCAAAAAAATTAACAGAACTGCAAAAAGAAACAGAAGAATCCACTATTATAGATGAAGAGTTTGAGATTCCTCTATTAGAAATGGATAGATCCAGCAAGCAAGAAGGATACAGTTGAACTCAACAATACCATCAATCAGCTGTATATAATTGACACCTAGATACTACTTCATCCAACAACAGCAGAATATACTTTCTTCTCAAGCTCACATGAAACATTCACCAAGGTAGACCGCATTCTGGGTCACAAATCTCACCTTAACAGATTTAAGAGAACAGATATTATATGTCTGTTCTTAGATCAAAATGAAATTAAACTAGAAAGCTGTAACAGAAAGAACTGGAAAATCCCAAAATACGTGGAGGCTAAGAACATTTCTGAATAACACATGCGTCAAAAAAGAAATCTTAAAAGAAAATTTTAAGCATTTTGAATTTATTGAAAATTAAAATACAGCATCAAATGTGGTGAGAGGCAGTGAAAGAAATACTTAGAGGAAAATTTATAGCATTTTCTTCATGTATTGGAAAAGAAGAAAGATTTAAAATCAATGATCTATGTTTTTATCTTAGGAAACTGGAAACAGCAAATTAAACTCAAAGTAAACAGAAAAAAGAAAATAATTAAAATTACAGCAGAAATCAATAAAATTGGAAATACAGAAAATCAATGAAGCCAAAAGCTAGGATCATTAAGATTAAAAAGATTAATATAATTGATAGGCCTCTAGCCAGACTAAGGAAAGAAGAATTATACACCATAATTTATCTCAGGTATGAAAGGCTGGTTCAACATTGAAAATCAATTAAGATAATACATTACATATAAAGGCTAAAAAATAAAAATCACATGATCACATCAATAGATGCAAAAAAGCATTTGACAAATGCCAATACCATTCATGATTAAAAAAAATCTCTCAGTAAACTACGAATAGATGGGAATTTTCTCAACTTGAAGAGTATCTACAAAAAAAGCTATAGTTAACCTCATACTAAATGTTTACAAACTGGAAGCGTTCTTACTAAAATCAGGAACAAGGAAAGGATGTCTCCTCTCATCACTAGTTTTTTGTTTGTTTGTTTGTTTTTGGGTGTTGCTCAAATACTCCCCAAGTGGCCTTTATTTCACAAAATTATTTTCATTAAAATTATTTTAGCTACTACTTTTACCGTGTGATGCTATTTAAATGAAAAAAACAATTGGCAAACTCACAACTTATGTCCTTCAAGTCATTTCTTCTCCTTTGAGGCTGAACGTATCGGACTGCATTAGTTCCCAGGCCTAGGCCAGTGAATTCTTAATGCTCTCACATTAACCCGAACTTGGGCTTTCACATGAAGTTGGGTACCCATTATACCAAAGACGATTCTGAATCTTGTCGTGTGGCCCAGGCGGAGGCTTAGATATTGTATGTCCTTTTGTGTGCTGTTTTCCCCAGCCCATTACTGAATCAATAAGCCAGTCTCTGAAAACACTGGTCTGTGTGGGATGAAGTCTATCATTAGGAAGGATGGAGCAATAAGATGTAAGCCAGAATTGTAGAAAATAAAAATGATGGAAACTTCTACATGAGACCTATATTAGGTTTTCTATTTTGTTACTTTAATAAATTGCCACAATTTTAGCGGCTTAAAACATACTATCATCTGACAGTTCTATTGGTCTAAAGTCCACCTGGTCTCACTAGACTAAAATTAAGGCATCAGCAGGGCTGCACTCCTTTCGGAAGGCTCTAGGGGAGAATCTACTTTCTTGCCTTTTCCAGCTTCTAGACGGCACACACACTCCTTGGCTTCTGACCCTTTCCTTCCCATCTTCAAATCAAGCAGTGTCTAGTCAAGTCTCTCTTAAAAGTCTCTTTGACACGGACTCTTTTTTGCCTTCTTCTTCCACATTGAGGGATCTTTGTGATTACATTGGGCCCACCTAGTAAGGCAGGATCCTCTCCTTGTTTTAAGGTCAGCTGATTAGCAATCTTATTTCCCTTATGTTTCGTAACCTAACAAATGCACAGGTTCTGAGGATATGTGGTAGGAAGGGGTGTTATTCTGCCAACTCCTTTTGAGAGGACTGTGTCTATTTGGCAAATACTTTTTTTTTTTTTGAGACAGGGTCTCGCCCATCACTAGTTTTTAACATCATATTGGAAGTCTTCGCTAATGAAATAAGACAAGAAAATAAAAGGAATACTGATAGGGGAGGAAGCCATAAGCCTATCTTTGTTTGCAGATGACATAATCATCTATGTAGAAAATCCAAAAGAATTCTGGAATAAGCAATTATAGCAAAGTTGCAGGATAAAAGATTAGTATACAAAAAAAATCACTTTCATATAAAAACACAATACCATTTACAGTAGCAGCTCACAAAAATACTTAGGAATAAATACTTAGGAATAAATCTAACAAAATATGTTCAAGATCTGTATGAGGAAAACTACAGAAGTGATTGAAGAAATCAAGAACAAACTAAATAAAAAGAGATACTCCATGTTTATGGGTAGGAAAACTTAATATTGTCAAGAGGTCAGTACTTTCCAACATGATCTATAGATTCCATGCAATCCCAGTCAAAATCCAAGAAAATTATTTTGTGGATACAATATTGACAAACTGATTCTAAAGATAATATGGGGGAGGCAAAAGACCCAGAATAGCCAACACAATATTGAAAGAAAACAATAAAGTTGGAAGACTGACAATACTCAACTCCAAGACTTACTGTAAAGCCATAGTAATCAAGACAGTGTGGTATTTATTGGTGAAAGAACAGACTGATACATAATAGAAAAATGTATCAGTGGAACAGAATAGAGAGCCCAGAAATAGACCCACATTAACATAGTCAACTAATCTTTGACAAAGGAGCAAGGGTAATACAGTACAGAAAAGATAGTCTTTTCCACAAGTAGTGCTAAGCAACTGGACATCTACATACAAAAATATGAATCTAGACACAGATATTATACCCTTTATAATAATTAATTTAAAATGGATCACGGAGCTAAATATAACAGGAGACCTATAAAATTCAAAGATAACACAGGGGAAAACCTAGATGACCTTGGGTATCATAATGCCTTTTTAGATATAACATGAAAGGCATGATCTATGAAAAAAATCATTGATAAGCTGGACTTTATTAAAATTAAAAACTTCTCTACAAAATACATCAGTAGAACAAAATAAGCCATAGATGAGGAGAAAACATTTGCAAAAGACACATCTGATTAAAAAATAACTGTTACCCAAAATATAAAAAAGGACTCAAAACTCAACAGTAAAAAAAAGACAATTAAAAAATAGAACAGAGATCTTGACACCCCATCAAAGAGGATATGCAGATGGCAAATAAGCATATGAAAAGATGTTCCATATCACATGTCAGAGAAATACAAATTAAAATAAAGATATACCACAATACATCTATTGGAATGACCAAAATTCACAACACTGACAACACCAAAGGCTATTGATGGTATGGAGCAACAGGAATTCTCATACATTACTGGTGAGAATGGAAAATGGTAAGGCTACTTTGGAAGACTGTGTACCAATTTCTCACAAGACTAAACATACCTTTACTGTATGATCCAGCAATTGTGCTCCCTGGCACTTACTCAAAGGAAATAAAAACTTATATCCATACAAAAAGCTGCACATGGATTTTTATAGCAGCTTTGTTCATAATTGACAAAACTTGGAAGCAACCAAGATGTGCTTCAATAGGTGAATACATAAACTGTGGTATGCACAGAAAATGGAATATTGCTCAGTGCTGAAAATGAGACATCAAATCATGAAAAAACATGGAGTAAATTTAAACACATATTACTAAACATAAGAAACCACTCTGAAAAGGCTGCATACTGTATAATTCCAACCATATTATATTCTGGAAAAGGCAAAACTATAGAGACAGTAAAAAAATCAAAAGTTGCCAGGGGTTAGGGGGTAGGAAGTGATAAATGGGCAGAACACAGGATTTACTTTTTATGGGGGGAGGTTAGCAATGCAGTTTTTTTTTTTTTAATTTTAACTTCTGGGATACATGTGCAGAATGTGCAGGTTACATAGGTATACATGTGCCATAGTGGTTTGCTTCACTGATCAACCTGTCATCTAAGGTTTTAAGCCCCATATGCATTAGGTATTTGTCCTAATGCTCTCCCTCCCCTTCCCCCCACTGCTCCCCGGCCAACAGGCCCTGGTGTGTGATGTTCCCTTTCCTGTGTCCACGTGTTCTCATTGTTCAACTCCCACTTACGAGTGAGAACATGTGGTGTTTGGTTTTCTATTCCTGAGAACACAGAATTTTTAGAGCAGTAAAACTACTCCCTACAATACTATAATGGTGAATATGTCAGTATACATTTTGTCCAAACCCTTAGAACACACATCAACAGTGGACCCTAATGTGATGGACTTTAGGTGATTATGATTTGTCAATGTAGGTTCAACTGTAACAAATGCACCACTCTGCTGGGGGATGTTGGTAATGGGACAGGAGATGCATGTGTGGGAGTAGGGAGCATGTGAGAGATACCTGTACTTCCTTTCATGTGGCTGTAAACCTAAAACTGCTTTTTAAAAATCCAATCAGGTTATTAAAATGGCACCATTGACAAGGGAATTTGTTTCTGTGGTATATAACATTTTAAAATAAGTGAAATTACAACGAATAACATATTAGGACATATCATGGGAAGTAAGGACATTGACAAAGGTTTAGAAATTTCATAAAATTTCTGAAATATTTATAATAATATTTACCCATACAAACATAATTTAGGAAAGATTATCATCTTTTCTTATATGACAATGCTTTACATGAAATTCGGTGTATCAACTAATGAAATTATCTTTAACATGTCTTTTTCTACAAAGTGAAAGAACAAATCTTTTGAGATTTTCCAGGGGGCCTCTGGAAAACCTCAAGATCAGTTTGAAAATAATATTTCATTTAGGATTTTATTTCAGAGCCCACAATTGCCAAAAATATATAAAAACTTAGCTCTTTTAGAAGTGAAACGTCTCAGTTCTCTTAAATAATCGAGGACATGATAAAGGTGAACATAAATCACAAGAAAATATTCTGATAAAACACAGAATCTTTGTTTCCTAGGCAGATCACTTGAAAGATAAGGTAAACCCTTTTTGCAATTTCTCATTAACAGCAGGTCAATACTGCATGAGAATGTTGTCATTTTTGACAGAAAGACACCAAAATTCTAGTTTTATATCAGTGTACTTTTGATATTGAGTTCATTTTTTAAAAACCATTTATAAAATAAAAGCATTTACCCTTAGCTAGCTCAACTACACATAAAATTACTTCTCTGCGAACCTTCTACGACTTTCTGTATTCATTCTGGTTTAGAGGTTTTTTCCACACATTTCCCTCTCTCATTCTAGAATAACCAGCCATTCTACTTCACAATAAAATTACTCTTTTTTCCTTAACAAAAATACATCCTTTATACCTTGTATAGTTTTATCAAAAATATATCCTACTTTTCTTGTAGATTTTGCATGCAGAGTTGTTTCTCTTATGATTTTAGTAGCCTTATTCCCATATTTGGATTATAATTTTAAACCATTAGTAAACTTTTAAATAGAGAAACTAGGAGTAGATGATTGTAAACTACCTGTCACACGACAGTGTCCTCTGAAAGACTAGCAAATTTTATGAATATACCACCTCACCATTTTATAGGCATATGCTGTTTCATAATACAAATTCTCAAGGTGGCAAAAAGAACGTGTTTATTAACAAGCTCAAATATAATTAGTCTCTCTCTGTGTATATCATATGTAAATAAGAAGACAAACGTAAACTTGTACTTAGCAAAGTATGTTTTAGTACTTTTGTTTCGAAAGTACATTTGTTTAGAAACGATATAGACTCTTAATATCTAACTTAGCATAACTAAAGGATTTGAGTCACCAAAAAGATTTTTGGAAATGTATTTTTAGATAGACACATAACATTGAACAGGGCTGGCTATCATCTCCAGTTATTTCCCTGCTAAGTAATTTTTAACCTCATATGACTAGTAAACCCAAGTAAATAATAATATATGTTCATATTATATTTAATGCTAACTCAGAATATACAGCTGTTTATATTAAACCAATACTATTAAACTAGCCCCTTTTTTAGGAAATATTTACCCAACCCATGTGAATTTGAAATACATTTTAGTTGGTTGCTGCATTTCTGGGAGTTTGGGAAGACAAGTCATATGAGCACTTATTTCTTTCTAAGCCAATTAGAGCAGAACTACTTTAAGGGATTTTATAAACTTGGTAATAGTATGTAGAAGCAGGGAAATATACATGATAATATACACACATATACACACAGAGACAAGATGCAAATTGAGATCTGTGGTTTTATTTCAAAATTTTAGCCCTGAGTCAGACATAAAAACAAAAACTCAACAGTTTACATGAGTTGTTTTTCACTTTTTGCTCCATTTTATACTTTTATCCAAATTGTGTTTGTAACAGATGAAACAACTTAAGGTTACCTGCTTAGTATGAGGGTGAGTGCTTTTACCAATATTTATGAAGACTTTTAAGATTTCCTTTTGCTATGATCTGTAATCTTATCGAGGTAATAAACTACATTTTAGACAAGACACTGAGGGGACATCAAAGCTGTCTGGGTGTATTCAAAGCCTTATCCATCTGTTTCTAATTAGCTTTTTTTCTTTTCAGCCTCAGGTAGTTGCTTTTGGGGGTCTGAGTTCCTTGAGAGTCCCACAGTGGGTCAGGGGGCTAAAATTTCAGGGACTACAGGGAGCTGAGAAGCTGAACTGGGAAGGGAAAGCCCTGGCAGAAGCAAGCAGAGGGGTGGAGGATATAGGGGCTTGAAAGAACACTATCCAAGGACACAAAGGAGCTGAAGGGAAGACAAAACATGGTAAAAGGAGAAAGGAGGAGTGAAGGTGATGGGAAGGGAAAGGTCTTAGAGGAGCCAGTTTGGGGAGATGTTTCCCAAAGATGCTATCAAAGTTCCAAATTTGACACCGAGTTCAAGAAGGGAAGTTTTGGTAACTGAGAAGTTCCCATGAAAGAAGTCGGATCAAATAGAACAGAGAAGCCACACAAGGATCCAGGACAAAAATTTTCAGTCCAAAAGTCAGGGAGTGAACCCCACTCAAAATAAGGAGCCAGGAAGAACTTTCAGCCCAGGAAGTACCTTTAATTATAAGAATGAAACTGCCCCTACCATGCATCAGTGGACCGCCATTCAGAGCACTAGCTCATAATCTAGACTCACCAATGAATCTGATCCTGAGTTGTGGAAGCCATAACTGTTAAAGAAAAAAAAATTAGACACCTGTTAATGACTTGTTAAAGACTCTATTCAAAAGAGATCACTGCTATGGGGCTTGACAGTAGAGAGAGATCGGGGGCTTGACAGGGAGAGAGATCAGGCTCAATTCTGTATACAACAAGAACAAGTAGGGATTTATAGCCAAGGAGCAGGTTTGATGGTGGGGATGTCGGTGGATTTCTAAGAGGAAACATCAAGGCTATGGGGGGGATTCTGGCTAAGCTACCTAACAGGACTCTTACTGAAGTCAGGGAAAAGTGGTAAGATAGCAAAGGTGAGAGATTTGCACTGGACTGACTCATCAGGGTTCTTAGTTAAACTGAACTAAGTGGCCCAAGGCCAGGGCCCAAAGCCAGGGCTTAGTCAGAAAGAAGACTCAGAGGAGCCTGATTCAAATTCATTCAAGGAGAGAGTCCATTTTCATCCCCAGTGGGTCTAAAGGGCAGAGAACTGGACCAAATATTTTATTCTAAAGCTTTAAAACCTCATGGAGTTTGCCTTGCTAGATTTAGGACTTGCTTCAGACCTGTCACCCCTTTCTTCCTCTGTATTCCTCCCATTTGGAATGGAAATGTCTATCTCATGCCTGTCCAACCACTGCATTTTGAAAACACATAATTTGTCTGATTTCAGAGGATGGAGAGGAATTTTGCCTCAGAATTAATCATACCTCAAGTCTCTTCCATATATGATTTAGATGATATTTAGATAAGACTCTGGATTTTAGAATTAATGCTGGAATGAATTAAGACTTTTGGGCTGTTTGAATGGAACAAATGTATTTTGCAAATGAGAAGGACATAAATTATAGAGGTCTAGGAACAGAATGCAATGGACTGAACATTTGTGTCCCTCCATAGGTTGAAGTCTTAATCCCCATTATGGTGGTATTTGGAGACAGGACCTTTGGAAAGTAATTAGGATTAGATTAGGTCATGAGGGTAGATCCTGCGTGATAGAATTCATATACTTATAAAAATAAGAGGAGACAGGAGATCTGTTGCTCCACCATGAGAAGACACAGCAAGAAGGCGGCCATCAACAAGCCAGGAAGAGGGCCCTCACCAGGAAACAAATCAGCCAGCACCTTGCTCCTTAATTTCCCAGCCTCCATAATTGAGAGAAATCAGTTTCTGCTGTTTAAGCCACTCAGTCAATGGAATGCTGTTACAGCAGTCTGTGCAGACGAAGACAATAACCAAGGGTCCATATGACTTTGGGGACATCTTACAAAATGCACCCTGTAGAGGTAAACTCGTCCTGAACTATGCACAGTCCTGACCCCAATGATGTTCTCTATTGAAGGTGAGAGGGAAAAGAAAACTAGCAGTGATTTGGGGGCTGCTGAATAAACAAAGTAATGAAATGGTAAGTGAATTACAGAGGTCTTAAAGCAAAGACCTTATATGCTTAATACTCATCTCCCCAACCACTTGCAGTATAACCCTTTGTTCAAGTTCATAATTAATTCCAGTTTTTCAGATGCAGCTTCATTCTATTTTATTTAGTCCTTTTCCTTTCTTGCCATCTTCCAGGTACGTTAGTTGCCATGGGAACCATGATGCTAATTTTAAGGGTGGCGCCCAGAGAGATCCACAAACACAGAGGAAAAGAAATTTAATCTTTTTGATTGAAATGTAGACCCCAAATTAGAAAATTCGGGGTTGAAATATAGACCCAAATTGGAAAACTGCAAAAGTTAAATAAACTACATGTGGCTTTAACCTCACAAATATATCCTTCATGGACCCGTTCACTTCCTCGGGCACATGAACCAAGTAATAAAACCCTAACAGTAAAATCATCAAACATACAAACAGAGGTCTCTGTGCTATTCTTTACTGGAGTTTTTACATAAACTAATCTATGAGGAAAGTGGGTCCCATAAAAGGATCTGACTGAAGGATTTATGTTTTCTTGTCTCTCAGATGTGAGCCAGAGTCAAGCTCTTATAAACCATTGCCCTCCTTTCTATGGGTGCCTATGTTATATTGCCTTCTGCTACATTTTATCTAATTAAACCACTAAAGCCTTTCAAACTTTCTTAACGACCTAGAAGAGGTTTTTCCAAAGAACCTATCAAAAACATCCAAGTCTAGAGTACTTGGGTCACTGTCTTGCCAGTGTTAGGCTACTGACATGGCTCTCTCTCCAATGTAGCTCCTGGCCATAAACTCAATCACCCCCACTAGCTTAATTCAGACATTTTATTCCTGGCACTGCCATCCAATGGGCACTAAACGTTAGTATCAAAACAACAGAATTATGTTAAAGAATGTAAGTTCTTTTATAACCCAGAGTGTTCTAAGAGTAATAATAAAACCTGTGTTCACTCCAATCCTTTGAGTTCATCTTTGACCATTTGGGTTTTTATACTGGAGATCATTGTATTTAGCCACGTAGAACATTCATGTCCCGCTGTTCTAGCAATGCTCTTCATATCCTATGGCACTGGACTTTGAAAGGGCCGATTCTGTATTGACATTGCAGGAGCAGTTAAAATATTCCATTTTCTTCCCAACAGTAAGTAGGTGAGGAAGCATCAACCTTCTCAAGGTCAATATGTACCAGCTAGGAAACAGTGTGCTCAAAGAGGATAGCTGAAGAACTTTCAATAAAGGGACTACCGAGGTGTGGCAAGAGATAAGGGAACAGGTAAGTGGCAGTACCTAGAACTAGAAAACAGAGGAGTCCTTCAGATCTGAAGGGGCAAGAGAAAGAGCAGCCACTGGAACCCAGCAGGAAGTTGTCAGACAGGAGCCACTTGAAAGGAGTTGTGGCATTTAGTAGAGGAATGCAGCCGCTGCCAGACTGCAGCCCAGAAGAAAAGGAATGTGTTGGGGTGGAGGAGATAATCCCATAGCATCTCTCTCCTCCTGCTCTCTGATTGCCTCCCTGCAACTCCCTTTGACTCCAACCAGAATATAGAAGGCACAGGAGCCAGGGGATCCTTAGAGGTCAGCCTGCTGGGGGCAAAAATCAGGGTGAAGAATGGAGGTAAATCTAGAGGTGCAGACAGAATATTGAGCACACAGTGCTGTTTGTAGGCTTATAAACAAGCCAGTGCTCACCAAGGGACAGAAGCCCCCTCATGTGTGCTGATAGAAGCCCTAGGAATTTGAAACACCTATCTTGCTATTGGAAGAGAAGAGACACACTAACCAACTGGAAAACACTAATGACCACACTGGAGAGTTACCAAGACAGAAGACTCACACGTGCACTTGGAAATAAATGCCACACCACATCTGAAAGGGGCAGCTTCCCCCCTCTAAGTCTTTTACTTTGCAGAGACTAAAATCTCGAACTATAGGAGAAACCATCACAATTCTAATAGCCAACATTTGTTGGACACACCATGTGCCTGACTGTTAAAAACACTGTACCCAAATTAACTCACTTAATTCTCACGACAACTCTATGAGATAAACAGCATTATTATCACTATTTTCTGGATGAGAAAGGTTAAATAGACTGAGAAATAGAGAAGCTACACACCAAGTCAGTAATGATACCAGGTTCCGAACCCAGTCTGACTTTAGAGCCTACACTTTCAAATCCTACACTTAAGGTGAGCACTCTTAACCACGTTTATTTTTAATATAGTTGAACTGCTCATCCATTATTTTCATGTTACCAGCATATAACATCGCATTTGAACGGTATGAAAGTAGCCACAGAGTTACAGAATTTCACAGCTGAAATGAATAGTAGCAACTCATTTCACTAGTAGAGAGATACAGATGCAAATGCACAGATTGATACATAGTATATTTCTACCTGAGGTGTGGTACCAGAGACAAGATTAAAACTCATCTCCTAACCACTTTACCATGGCCCTTGCAACTTCACTGCAACTCCCCCCGCATGCAAAGAACTTGTGCCAGGCACTACAAGGGAGAAAAAAAATTAGAGGAGAACTTGCCTTCCAGGTGTGACCAGCATGGACTAAGAGGAAATAAGGTAAGTATCACCATGAGAATCTAAGTGGTCTTGCTCACAACAGTGATTCCTCATAAAGTGTAATGGAGTTTAGAGGAGCAATCATGTTTTTTCCAGAGGGGCATCTGATAGGCTAAGGTAAAGGGGATGACCTCTGGCTTAGGATTTTCAGAATAGGTCATACACGAGGAGTAGTTTCTAGTTCACAAAGTTTATCTAGGGCCACCAATGATCTGTCAAGTTGGAGATACAAGTGCTGCTCCCTAGAAACCTAAGAAACCTTGAAGTTTGTGAGTTTGTGAGGTAGGGGATTTGTGGATACAAGGCACCAACAATGCCTTGCCTTTCCCCCACCATTCAAGATTCTGCACCCCAATCACCCACAGGGTGCCATCTTTCAGGAGCTCTTAAGAATTGAGCAGTAGATTGAAGTAAAGATTTAAAATAATGGAATGGATGAAGGCTATCAATAGGAAGAGCAATTGTAGAATGCCAGTAGATGGAATTGTGCCCTATGGTATCATGAGATGTAATAACACTCTATCTTAAAGGAGACTTCCAGAGAGGGTAGATTTCTTCACCTTGAAGAATGAGCTCCAGCATTTGTGATTTAGACAAAGACCCCAGGAGGAGTCTACAGTCCCCCTTTACTCTTGCTCCATAAGGCAGACAAGCCAAGTAAAGGGCGTTCAAGCCATAGCATTAATGCTTTTTCTTCCATTATCCTCAGAGTAAGCCCACTAAACTTGCCATTCCTGTCACCTTCTCTTAAAGATTCTCCTTCAAAGCTCAAATGAGTCACTTAGAAGGTAAATAAATCCTCCATGAATATATCTAAAATTCAGTTTCCACATCTACAAATTCCTGACCAACCACCTTACTCTGAACTGTTCCAAACACCACTGGCTGTCCACTTCCCTCCTCATGCCATCCCTCCAGCAGTGTTCAGATTTCTCTGTGTGTGCAACTATTTATTCCATAAGTCTCCTGG
Source organism: Homo sapiens (assembly GCF_000001405.40). NCBI lineage: Eukaryota > Metazoa > Chordata > Mammalia > Primates > Hominidae > Homo > Homo sapiens. Next base: position 62,185,288 of record NC_000014.9, on the reverse strand, counting down.
GGTGAGGGCAAGTACATAACATTCTTTTTTGGTATGTCCCATAATGCCCTCTTATGGTCAGTGCAGAGTAAAGGGTTATTAGTTTAATATAGTGTAATTACATGCAGTGGAAGATAAAATAGCTACAAAAAAATGGCCTCTCAATGTTTTGGGGATTTTCCCCACTTTGGAACTTCTCTTTTCGTGATCCCCACTCTCCTTGACTATCTCCAGAGGCACTGTGTGTTGAGTGAACCAGTTGTCTGCTCAGGTATCATAAACCTCATGGTTTCTGCACTTTTCCTGAAGAGCCAGGGCAAACCGTTTCTAACTGCTGCGCTGGACAATTTCCTCCAGAGAACCATTCCTGGAGCTCACTGATCTCACCAAACCCAGTTTGGTGGCCCTGTGACAGCCATTCAGCAGGCTGCATTGTGTCACACACTTGTCATGGTGTACATTGACTGATCTGTGCAGTTAGTTATGTAACACCCAAAGCTAACTCAGGTCCCAGTCTCCTCAGACACCTTCACCATTCACAACTCCCTTCAGGCTCATGGAAACCAACTGTTCATCTTCAGAACAGTGATTTAAGAAATTTTGAGTAGGCTTTCAAGGACAAATGTAGACACCATGAGAATATCTGGCAGTAAAGGGATATCACTAGCTCGTGAAGATTTTATCCAAGGTCTCAGTCTCTAGGTGTACTTGAAGGGTTTATTAGTCCATTTTCATGCTGCTGATAAAGACATACCCGAGACTGGGAAGAAAAAGAATTTCAATTGGATTTACAGTTTCACATGGCTGGGGAGGCCTCAGAATCACGTGGGAGGTGAAAGGCACTTCTTACATGGCAGCAGCAAGAAAAAATGAAGAAGATGCAAAAGCAGAAACCCCTGATACAACCATTAGATCTCATGAGACTTATTCACTACCATGAGAACAGTAATGGGGAAACTGCCCCCGTGGTTCAAATTATCTCTCCCCAGGTCCCTCCCACAATTCAGGATGAGATTTGGGTGGAGTGACAGAGCCAAACCTTATCAAAGGGGATTTCTATCATCAACACTTGCAAGAATTTAGTCCTCTACTACAAGAATGGAATAAAAATAAAATGAATCCAAGACCTTCTGTAAGCAGTGACAGGGAGATGGTAGCATGGTACCAGATTCAAGAGAAGGAGGCTCTCCTGCAAACAGGGAGGGCTCACAGCTGGCCTTTGGAGGATGGATGCCATTCTGCACTAAGAGGAAGTAAGAAGACAGTCAATGTGAATGGGATGGCCAGGGAAATGACAGAATGTGGATCACAATGTGGAATATACCTTATGGTTGGAGAGAAGTGGGAATGTTGATAAAGAAGATTAGTGCCAGATTATGGAGGATGTTGAGAATCCAGCTGCAAGGTTGGAACTTTGAATGACACATAGCTCTCTAAAAATCAGCTTTCAACAAAGAAATTGGCCGCTTCTAAATGTGGTGACCCTCCATTACTAGAAGTTTGTCAACAGCCGATCTGTTAGGGATGAACAATCAAAGGTTTTCCGCTCTATGTTGTGGAATGCAGAATTAGGCAATGCAACAGAGGAGCTTAGAATGTGGCATCAAACACCTGAATTTAAGACCAGCTCTGTTCTTTACTGCCTTTGTTATCCTAGGGTTGTCATTATAAGCCTTCTATCATCTGTAAAATGAGCATAATAGTAACTGCATCAGAGGGTGATTGGACAAAGTACATGCAATATGTGAATCTACTTTGTAAAAGTAGATTATATCAATAATAGTTAACATTAACAAGTGTTAAACTTCTTTCCAACTTGCAATTCTGTGTTTATAGCCTAAAAATGTTAAGGTCCAGAAGAGTGTGTTATGATGAAAATTATGTTGTAAGAACAATGGAAAATTTATAAGTCAAGATGAATTGAAGACAACGTAGAGGTAGGGGGAAGTTCTCAGGTTGCATAGAATGAAGTGATGGTGTAGGGTAAGCACAGCCTAAACTAAGACGGGAGCAATGGAAAAGGAAAAGAAAAGGATTGTAAGTTTTTTTTAATTATGTAAGTATATTTAGGAATCAAAGGTGACTGAGATCACAGATAAAATAGCTTTTTTGAAACACCCCAGTTCCAGCACTTCCAGATTAGGTGAAAGACTGTCTAGGGATACGCTATGCAATTCAGTAACCACTCACATGTGGCTACTGAGCACTTGAAACGCAGCTACCTCAACCTGAAATGTGCTGCAACTGTAAACTACGCACTAGTTTCAAAGACCTAATATGAAAAAAGAATGTAATGCATCTCCATGATTTTATATTGATTATATGAGAAATGATGTTATATTGGTTTAAAGTTAAAATATTTTAAAAAGTAATTTTACTTGTTGCACTTCACTTTTTAAATGTATTTACCAGAAAACTGTACAATATAGGTGCGATTGACATTATGTTTTTGTTGAACTCTACTGGTCTAGTGTATGATTCTCAATAAAATTGCAATGGAGCTTTTCTCATCTAGACATCCCAGAGGTCTCTCCCAGTACATATGAATCAGCAGAAACTATGAGTGGTCCTGTTTTTGAAGATGCTCCTCAGTGATTATAAGAGCCATAGAGTATCTGCACTAGAACATTCTAAGTGTGCTTCATAAGCTTTATTTTTGTACATCCATCACCTGGGGAGCTCATTAATCAGCTAACTTCAACTCCAGAGATTCTGATGAGTTCGATCTGAAATGAACCTGAGGTCCCCTGGAATGTTCATTTACTATGCCCTGCACATGATCTAACTCAAGGGACCCCCAGAACCACATTTGAAAAAATACCTCTCTGGGGGTGGGAAGTGCTGTCACACAAGGAACAGGTGAAAACAACCACCAGCACTGTACCAGCAATGCAGGGGCACAAAAGGGGAAGAGGACAATAATGAAAGTAATTATTTAAGTAATTTGATATGTGGCATTACAAAAAAATTATCAAAATAATCAGAAAGTCATAACTGTTTATCTTGTTTAACTTTTAACTTTTTGGTTTAGAAAATTCTTCTATTATTTTAAATTACATGACAAGGAGTGGGTATAATCTTTTCAGAGCTTGGAGCTTCTACAGATTTGATGTTAACACATAATAAAAATATTGTCCCAAACATGGAGGCTGCTCTATCTTCTACTGTAGGATATTAGGATCAGAAGGATCTGTATGGACACCAGCCTTTGGGTTCATTAATCCTGAGGGCAGAGTGTCTTACCTTTTGGTCTTGATTTACTGTTTTTTTGTTGTTTTGTAAATCAGATCATCCTTATTAAAGAGAGGAAAACTGCTGCATTCAGAGGAAGATAGATCTTCAGAAAACATTGTCAGGCAGAAGGCCTTTGGCTCATTAACTACACAAGTTAAGGTCCCTCTTGCAGAGCCCTAAAGGACTCTCACCAACACCACAGCAGGAGAACCAATACCCTGGGCAAATGACTTCCTGCCTGCAGAAAGTCTCTTAGAAGAGAAGGTTCTAATTCTAGTTAAAAGCTCTCCCACCTCGATCTGCTCGGAGCCCGGATTTAGGCTCTGATTCACCATCTCTGCATTCCAATAGCATGCAAATAGCACCAAGAGCTGGAGTCCATTAAAAAAAAAAATTTTAACAGATTTCTTAAGTGGTCATAAATCTTGTTTCTGATGTGTTTTGTTTCTTCCAACAAGTACCTTGCCATTAATGAAAGAATTATTTTAAGGCAATTTAAGATCCTAAAATTTAATCAAATTTCCATATGACTTATTTTAGCAAATTGTTATAAAACAGGCAGTAATTAGCAGGAGGTGACCACCATGGTAAAGGATCCCTGGAAGATGATACTGTTCTTTTCACACCTGGGCAATTTGATTGACCTTCAGCGTAGGTGACCCCTTCATCTTTTTGTCCCCTTGTAGTAGTCATGATGGCATGGTTGAATACCCCATATTTGTGAAAGTGTCCTTCTTTGTGCTCACAGAACATATGGCTGAGGTCAGAGAGATGACTTGAAACAACCTTGAAACACAACTAACTAGGCCATTGTGGAATCAAGCCTATGACCCCAGCCTTTCAAACCTCAGCCTCTAATAGACTCAACCAGCCAGCCAATGTAGGGGATAGAGCACTGCATTACACTGTGTAAAGGCAAATCTTGGGAAATCTAAGGCTGTTAGTGTCAAAGGCACAGAAGCAAGCATCAGGCCCTATACTTCTCACCTGCATAAAGGAGTAAAGCCTGCAGAAGTTAAGCAACCTGTAAAAGGTGATATAATTAGTTAATGCCAGAGCCAAGGCCAATGTCCAAGTTTTAATTCCTAGGTTTAGAACTATTTCTCTTTAACATTAATTATGAAAATAACTGTAATGTGTCTTCATCAAAAACTAAAATAAGTAAGTATAAAGACCCTTAATTTTACATATGCAGAAAAATAACCACAGATTATTTCAGTTTTCCTATGAAATCATCTATAACAATTTATTCATGATTTACCATGTGTAGAGTATGTACTGTGAGTGTGGGCGTTACTAGACCCATTTTAGAAATGAGGACCCTGAGGAATTGAGTGTTTACCCATGTTCATGCAATGAAGAAATGGCAGAGTCTGAAGCCAGCTTACTCTTTTCTACCTTCGAAGTGGACCATATTACCCACTATGCTACACCACCTCTTAGAGCATCACCCACCACGTACAACTGGGTTTTGTTGGGGTCCTGAAGCTAGCTCAAGTTCCTGCCAAAACTAGATCCTCATCCCTATGACCCTGCCCCCGACCACCCCCACCCACACACACACTGCTGCCCACCTTCACTGTCTAATGTCAATTTACCATGGGAATTTTCTGTGTGTTCTAATTAGGTTCAGCAGGGCCCTTGCCTAAAAGCTACCTAGTGGCCAAATGCTGCCCATTAGAAAGCACATTCCTGTAGATGTGAAGTATGATACCTAGGATGTCTTCAGAAGGACAAGAAAGTCTGTGGAGCCTGTTGGAGGACTGGATAAATGTACCACTTCCTTTGCAACTTGGCCACAAAGCCATCCAGCTTCAGAAGACAAGGGAAGAAAAAGAGTTTACCCAAGCCCCAAAGTTCTCCTCCATGAATCCCACTTCCTCCTTCTACCTCTCACCTCTCAAATCTCAGATACTCATCAAGGCAATTGCTTCAGATTCCTTTCAATTCCCTTCTTACACAGCTGAGGACCCAGATGGAAACATGAGCCACTCATGACCATACAACTTAGCCTCCACCCAAGCAAGAACACTTTGAGAGTGTAAGGGGACACTATTGCTAAATGTGTTGGCCTATCAGACATAAGATAGGCTATCCTAGTCCACCTCAATGTATAATCAACCTGTCATACCTCCCAGTCGCCTTCTCTGCAAAACAGTTTTTAATGGACTGCTGAGGCAAAGGGCACAACTGCAGCAGCAGCGCTTTCCCAGGAAGGGCATCTCCCCAGGTGGCTGCCGTTACTGGCACACAGAGTCTGCAAGGGCAACAGCTGGCAAGGCAGGTTGGCTCACTTTAATTCAAATTGAACTCCTTCTACTGAAATCTAGTTTATTCTGAAAGAGGTGCTGAGGATATTGTTCGTGGAGCTGCATTTCTCAGCAAACTAGATCCAAAAGGCACCAAGTGGAAAAAGCAGGACACCTGTGAGCCATAACACAATTTGGCTGAGACACTTATTGCTACCAAGAGAAGAGCAAATGCAAAGGTTTGCTGCCACCTGCTGTTGCATATTCATCCTTGCTAACAAGATGACAGCAGCTGGGCTTGAGGCATTTGGTGCTTTGGGACATCTCCAGGAACCCAGACTCCAACTTACTCATACCAGAGCTGAACCACGGGGCCATCAAGCATGTATTTCACAAGCATTTATTGTGAACCTTCTGCACCCTAATCTAGGGAAGGAGATAAAAAGATGATTGAGATGAGACTCCTGCCCGTGCTGAATTTAAATCTATGTCATGAGAGGACAGAGAGCAGGGCAATGAGAAGTTGAGGGCAGAGATATTGTCTAAAATATCTTTGCATCTTCCAAAAAAAGAGTTTACCTTGTGATGTGTCAAAATGATTATTAGCTACCCAAGGAAGATGCACGTTCTAGTAATTTTTCTTTCATTTTCATTAGAAATCGATGAATGTGGTACACAGGAGCTGGTCCTAGAGAAATCTATGAAGTAGGGGTTATCTTCACCCTTTCCTCATGATCCCTAGCCTTTTGTCTTTGTTTCTGTCATATCCAGGGACCCAGTGGTATCAGATTAGGACAGGGACATTGATTTTTTTCTCATTATAGTCCTTTAACTTTTAAATTCAGGGGTACATATGCAGGATGTGCAGGTTTGTCAACATAGGCAACCATGTGTCATGGGGGTTTGTTGTACAGATTATTTCATCACCCAGGTATTAAGCATACTCTCCATTATTTTTTCTGATCCTCTCCCTCCTCTCACCCTTCATGCTCTGACAGGCCCCAGTGTGTGTTCGTCCCCTCTTTGTGTCCATGTGTTCTCATCATTTAGCTCCCACTTATAAGTGAGAACATGCAGTATTTGGTTTCCTGTTCCTGTGTTAGATTGCTAAGGATAATGGCTGATACGGTTTGGCTGTGTCCTCACCCAAGTCTCATCTTATAGTTCCCATAATCCCCATGTGTCATGGGAGGGACTCGGTGGGAGGTAACTGAATCATGTGGGTGGTTCCCCCATGCTATTCTCATGATAGTAAATTCTCACAAGATCTGATGGTTTTATAAAGGGCTTCCTTCTTTGCTTAGCTCTCATTCTCCTTCCTACTGCAATGTGAAGAACATGTTTGCTTCCCCTTCTGCTATGATCGTAAGTTTCCTCCCCACATGGGAGGTCTCCCTAGCCATGTGGAACTGTAAGTCAATTAAACCTCTTCCTTTATAAATTACCCAGTCTTGGGCAGTTCTTTATAGCAGCAAGAGAATGGACTAATACGATGGCCTCCAGCTCCATCTATGTTCCTGGAAAGAACATGATCTCATTTTATGGCTGCAGAGTATTCCATGGTGTATATGTCCCATGTTTTCTTTATCCAGTCTATCATTGATGGGCATTTAGGTTAATTCCATGTCTTTCCTATTGTGAATCATGCTGCAATAAACATACACATACATGTGTCTTTATAATCGAATGATTTATATTCCTTTGGGTATATATCCAGTAATGGGATTTCTGGGTCAAATGGTATTTCTATCTTTAGGTCTTTGAGGAATTGCCACCCTGTCTTCCACAATGGTTGAACCAATTTACACTCCCTCCAAAAGTGTAAAAGTATTTTTCTCCACAACCTCACCAGCATTTGTTATTTTTTTGGCTTTTTAGTAGTCATCCTGACTGTTGTAAAATTATATTTCATTGTAGTTTTGATTTGCATTTCTCTAATGATCAGTGATGTTGAGTTTTTTTTTTCAGGTGATTGTTGGCTGCATGTATGTCTTGAGAAATGTCTGTTCTTCAAAGTGTCCTTTGCCCACTTATTAATGGGGTTGTTTTTTCCTGTAAATTTAAGTTCCTTATAGATGCTGGATATTAGACCTTTATCAGGTGTATAGTTTGCAAAATTTTTCTCCCATTCTGTAGGTTGTTTACTCTGTTGATAGTTTCTTTTGCTGTGCAGCAGCTCTTTAGTTTAATTAGATTCCATTTGTCAACTTTTGCTTTTGTAGCATTTGCTCTTGGCATCTTTTGTCATAAAATCTTTATTTGTGCCTATGCCCTGAAGGGTATTGTCTAGGTCGCCTTCCAGGGTTTTCATAGTTTTAAGTCTTTAACCCATCTTAAGTTAACTTTTGTATATGATATAAGGAAGGGGTCCAGCTTCAACTTTTTGCATATGGCCAGCCAGTTCTCCCAGCACTATTTATTGAATAGGGAATCCTTTCCCCATTACTTTTTTCTGTCAGGTTTGTTGAAGATCAGATGGTTGTAGGTGTGTGGCCTTATTTCTGGGTTCTCTATTCTGTTTCATTGGTCAATGTGTCTGTTTTTGTACCAGTACCATGCTGTTTTGGTTACTGTAGCCCTGCAGTATAGTTTGAAGTTGGGTAGCATGATGCCTCCAGCTTTGTTCTTTTTGCTTAGGATTGCATTGACTATATGGGCTCCTTTTTGGTACCATATAAATTTTAAAATAGTTTTCTCTAGTTCTGTGAAGAATGTCAATGGTAGTTTAATGGGAATAGCATTGAATCTGTAAATTGCTTTGGGCAGTAAGGCCATTTTAATGATATTGAGATTTCTTATTCAAGAGCATGGAATGTTTTTTCATTTGTTTGTGTCATTTCTTCTAAATACATTAAATCCTTTCTAAGGACTTGAAAGAGGAGGAAGAGCATGTAAAAGGAGCAGTGCAAAACATAATATGAACTGGTTAGAAAGAAAAATGCCATCAGGTATCATATGTAAGTTTTTGCCTCAATTGCTGATATTGGGGAAGGTGCTGATGCCTCCATAATTGGATTTCCCAAATTAAATGGGATAGCTGATAAGTGTGGTCGTTAAGACATGACTTGAACTTGACTGCCTAGGATCCAATTCTGGATTTATCTTTTAGTAATTATGTAGCACCTTAGATGAATTACTTGACTTCTCTGTGCCTGTATTTTTGCTTATAAAAGAATGGTAATAATATCTACTTCACACAGGAGAACACTTTGAAAGTATAAGGGTGCACTGTAATGAATATTCCATTATCATTTCAATGGAAGTAAGCAGATAATTATTTTAAAATATATAAAGCAGAGCAATATCTGATACATATAAATACTCAACAAATTGTGCATGCCTGTATATTCTTGTATTTCCATAATACCCCTTACTGCCAACTACCTATAATCAGATAATCAGAATAAACTCAATTTTCTGAGGTTTCAATGACTTCATAGTAACTAATGGTTAAGTGACTCCTGGAACCTGCTCTAGTTGTCAGTGTGGAGCAGTCTGTAGAATCATCTCCATATTATTTCCTACCACATGCCTCTTAGGAGGTCTGTTTCATGTGAATTTGTGAATCAGAAACATAAGATACACAAACTGGTAAAGAGCAAAACCCAAGAAGTAGCAAATGGGTCATTTTAACTGCTGATATTAGTTAGGCAAACTGATAGAGGAAAACAAACTACATTCAGCAGTGGGAGAAACTGCTCTAGATGTACTCTGGAGAAAAGTCATCCCCACTTCCTCCAAAAACAATGGAGACTTATAAAGCCTGTCCACCTCTGCAGCATGGAAATTTTGTAAGCAGTAGCCATAGTAAGCATTTTAGAGAATCAGAAAGGAAGTGCTTTGAAATCCCCAGCTTTATATCCCAATACTGACACACAATTGGTAACAACTGAATTTAGAGTTTAAACCATGAACAACTACAGACAGGAAAACTGATCATGCTCTGGAGTTGGTACGCCTGCCCTGATTCAAACAGGGGACCTGCTGATCGTCAGCTACCTCAAACCAGAAGGCAAACAGGAGAAAATGGGCGACAGGCACACGCAATCATGACAAGAGAGGGCAAACTCAGAAAACCAGGATGGCGATATTTCCTCTAGTGAAGGGTTTCTCTCATGTTAATGAGAAAGGATCGTATCATTGTAGCTATTATTTATAATGTGTTTTGTCAGTGTACTTAGTCCTGTTAAGGAAAATAAACATTGATCATCCCAAGGTCTCTTTCAATCTCAATTGAAATAGAGCTGATGTTCTCTTCATAAAATCCCAACTTTTTTTTTTGACAGGATCTTGCTGTGTCATCCAGGCTGGAATGCAGTGGCACAATCTCAGTTCACTGCAACTTCCATCTCCCAGGCTCAAGCAATTATCCTGCCTCAGCCTCCTGAGTAGCTGGGACTACAGGTGCGTGCCACGGCACCTGGTTAATTTTTGTTTTTTTTTTAAGTAGAGACGGGGTTTCACCATGTTCACCAAGTGGGTCTCAAACTCCTGCCCTCAAGTGATCCTCCTGCTTCATCCTCCCAAAGTGCTGGGATTACAGCTGTGAGCCACACACCCAGCCTAAAATCCCAATTTTTAAAAGAATTTAAGAACAAAGCTGGAGGCATCACGCTACCTGACTTCAAACTATATTACAAGGCTACAGTAACCAAAACAGCATGGTACTGGTACCAAAACAGAGATATAGATCAATGGAACAGAACAGAGCCCTCAGAAATCATGCCACATATCTACAACTATCCAATCTTTGACAAACCTGAGAAAAACAAGCAATGGGGAAAGGATTCCCTATTTAATAAATGGTGCTGGGAAAACTGGCTAGCCATATGTAGAAAGCTGAAACTGGAACCCTTCCTTACACCTTATACAAAAATTAATTCAAGATGGATTAAAGACTTAAATGTTAGACTTAAAGCCATAAAAACCCTAGAAGAAAACCTAGGCAATACCATTCAGGACATAGGCATGGGCAAGGACTTCATGTCTAAAACACCAAAAGCAATGGCAACAAAAGCCAAAATTGACAAATGGGATCTAACTAAACTAAAGAGCTTCTGCACAGCAAAAGAAACTACCATCAGAGTGAACAGGCAACCTACAGAATGGGAGAAAATTTTCCCAACCTACTCATCTGACAAAGGGCTAATATCCAGAATCTACAATGAACTCAAACAAATTTACAAGAAAAAACAAACAACCCCATCAAAAAGTGGGCAAAGGACATGAACAGACACTTCTCAAAAGACATTTATGCAGCCAAAAAACACATGAACAAATGCTCACCATCACTGGCCATCAGAGAAATGCAAATCAAAACCACAATGAGATACCATCTCACACCAGTTAGAATGGCAATCATTAAAAAGTCAGGAAACAACAGGTGCTGAAGAGGATGTGGAGAAATAGGAACACTTTGACACTGTTGGTGGGACTGTAAACTAGTTCAACCATTGTGGAAGTCAGTGTGGCGATTCCTCAGGGATCTAGAACTAGAAATACCATTTGACCCAGCCATCCCATTACTGGGTATATACCCAAAGGACTATAAATCATGCTGCTATAAAGACACATGCACACGTATGTTTATTGCGGCACTATTCACAATAGCACAGACTTGGAACCAACCCAAATGTCCAACAATGATAGAGTGGATTAAGAAAATGTGGCACATATACACCATGGAATACTATGCAGCCATAAAAAATGATGAGTTCATGTCCTTTGTAGGGACATGGATGAAACTGGAAATCATCATTCTCAGTAAACTATCACAAGGACAAAAAACCAAACACTGCATGTTGTCACTCATAGGTGGGAATTGAACAATGAGAACACATGGACACAGGAAAGGGAACATCACACTCTGGGGACTGTTGTGGGGTTGGGGGAGGGGGGAGGGATAGCATTAGGAGATACACCTAATGCTAAATGACGAGTTAATGGGTGCAGCACACCAGCATGGCACATGTATACATATGTAACTAACCTGCACATTGTGCACATGTACCCTAAAACTTAAAGTATAATAAAATAAAAGAAAAAAATAAAATAAAATAAAATTGAAAAAAAAGAAAAATACTGAAACAAGTTTATTCCCGTGTCTGTATGCAGTATGTTAACCTTGTCTTTTTTAGCTATATTTTTTTACCCAAATTCAATTTTAAGGTGATCAGACTGATAAATCTTAATGTCCCTGTAGAAAACAGTGGATTTCTGATCCAGCAAGCTCATGGAAATTGATCAGAGTGACATCAAAATAAAAAAAAAAAGTAGGGCCAAAAAACATTAACTGCATAGCTTCAGTCTCAATATGAATAGCTTGACAATTTGTCCAGACATTGCTTTCTACATAAAATTTAAGAATAAACCCCTTCTCAGCTCACTTGAAGAAACATGATCAATAAGAACAACGTTTTATTCCCAAATTATATTAAACTTTCCCATATAACAGTTCTCAGTATCACCTACCACTTTATCACATTCACCCTGAATCCTTACATATTTTTATAGTAAACCCCTTATTGAAATTTACTTTCTATGACTATAGCAATGTTTCTACCAAAGTCAGTTACTGGAAATGGGGGAAATGCCAGATTCTGAGTTATTATTTTTATCATAAAGGGGAGCTGGTATGGTTAAGAAGACAGGTCATCCTACTTTATGTTCATTTAAAATAATGCAGGGAAAGGGAAAACTCAGTATCAATTTAGACCGAGCAAGAGCTTCCAATTGGAGAGTGTGAGGTTGAAAGCATCCACTAATGAGTTGTTCAAACGTGGTTGGTGAAGACTCTTGACCTGTGACAGAACTGAGGAAATCTTAGGCTAGCATTTCTTTGCTGACCCATTTATTGAGTCTAGTTAATCACCTGAAAGATTGTCCTGCACATCACAGAAGAATCCCTCAGAAGCTGCCCTTCGGTACCTGCATATCAGAGCTGAGCTGCCAAATGTCACAGTGCGCTTGCTAGAGGTGAAGACAAAGGGAGACTTAATCTCAGATCCAGTATTGTTTCTTTCAGAGAACACAGAGGAGAGACGCCAAGGAAAAAACACTTCAGTGGAACAAAAAGCAAGAGCTTCACACTTTTCTCTCCATCTCATTGATTAGCACACAGTCCCTATATCCTCATTTCCTGGTAGAAATCCAACTGTGACACCATATTGATTGTGAGGGGAATGTGACCCCGTTAAGACGCTTCCACTTTTCAAAAATTCTTCCCATCTTCCTGTTCTTCCTCTTCTCCCAATTGTTGCCCCTTATTTATTAACAAAATATTGTGAAGCAGGAATAATCTAATCACGTAAGAGATTAGAAAAGGGATTTGTGCAGATTTTCCTTTGAAATCCACACATAATTATGGACTGGGAAGGTTAGAATAAGTTGCTCCTTCTCTTGGTCGGCATGTGTTTAATAGTAGAAGAAAGAGAAGGTACATATGGCTTTTAAAGACCTGATAGAATTTAAAAGAGGAAGAATGTACTAAAGGTATTTAAAGGGGCACTAGAAAGCAAGCAAGAAATTTTCTGTTCCTTCGTTGGCAGTAAACGGCAAATTCTACAATGAGGTGGCATTTATAAGTTCACAGTGACATTAATTCAGTAAAGCAACTGGAGAATTAACTGACAAAAGAGTGAAACTAACTGATATTTTGTACATGGTGCACATGACTACTAAGAAAAGGGATTTCTGTTCCAATCCAGAGTAGCAAGTATCAAAAGGCTACCAGCATGAGCAAGAGTCCTTCCTGGGATGGAGAGAAAAGTATTTTTTATGGTACATCCAGTCTGTGTGCACTGATAACCAAGACACATGCCCTACATTTTTATACTGAGATGGCTATTTTTGCCCACCTGTCTTTTTCAGTCCTAGTAGTCTCCAAATTTCTGTCTATTCTTGCATTTACTCATTCACTAACAATTTTGCAAGATACGGTGCAAAGTCCCAGGAAGTCAATAATTAAAAGACCCAGATAATACCCTTAAGTATCATAATCTATTATGTCTACAAATAATTCCTATAAATTCTATCATAGTGATATGTATACACACACTATAGAGAGAGAAGGAGTGGAGGAGGAAGGAGAGAATGAAAACTGAGAGCATAGGCGAGTGCTTCACTCAGTCTGGTAATTCAAAAGGTGTCACTCAAACAGGAAGAAATGTTGGAACTGAAACTTGGAAAGTGAGAAGATTTTTGTAAGGTCAGCAATGGAGTGGGACATAGTAGGCCATGTTAGCGCATAAGGAACACCATGCACAGAGATCTAAAAGCATAGGCTGACAGAGCTATTCAGTTAACTACAAATCCTGCAATCACCCTCAATGTTTTCTATTGCTTCTTTGGCTGAATCTTGGTAGACCACAATTTCATACAATGACCCAAATTAATGTACCTAATGTGAAAGAATCACAGCATTGGACTCGGAAGGCTCTTTTCATGATCTTATTAGTGGTGGCTGTCAGTGAATTCAGTGAGCTGAGGTGATATGGTTTGGCTGTGTCCCCACCCAAATCTCAATTTGAATTGTATCTCCCAGAATTCCCACGTGTTATGGGAGGGACCCAGGGGGAGGTAATTGAATCATGGGGGCCGGTCCTTCCTCTGCTATTCTCCTCTGCTATTCTCATGGCAGTTAATAAGTCTCACCAGATCTGATGGGTTTATCAGGGGCTTCCACTTTTGCTTCTTCCTCATTTTCTCTTGCCTCCCACCATGACTGAGGCATCCCCAGCCATGTGGAACTGTAAGTCCAATTAAACCTCTCTTTCTTCCCAGTCTTGGAAATAAAGATCACAGCAGCAGCAGAAAAACAGACTAATACATGAGGCAGTGAAAAACAGCTCTCAAGACAAGCAAATGCATCATTGGAAGGGAACACAGGTAGAAGCTGGGAATATGGGTTTTGGAGTCAGGATGGGATGCCTGTGAGCGTCATGTAGGATGATGACACAGATATTCAGCACCATGTCTGGCACATAAGCAGCACTTCATAAATATCAGATGCTACTCTATTATTAAATTATTGGAAGGTGTATTCTATAGTTATACTGTGATATTTATGAATTTTGCTATCCATTAAGACATTTAGCTCTACAGGATGTGCATGTGAGTGTACAAGATGAGTAATATGAAATTATCTGGTGATTTTCCAAAAGAATTTAAATCTAAAAATCTGTAAATTGTCATAACAATAACTCATAGTCCATAAACTATTTTTATACAATGTAGATTCACATACATATGTATACTTCTATCTACAGTAGCTATTCATAGTATAAACAAGAAAAATAGGAGAATAGGTAGGTGTCATTTTCACTACATGACATATTTGTAAAAGGATTTTTTTTGCCAGATTATAAATAGGTAGGATTTTTTAATGGAACAAATTGACTGCAATTCTGGTGTCACTCTTGAGTGGGAGTTGAACAATGAGAACACATAGACAGAGGGAGGGGAACATCACACACGGGGGGCCTGTCAGGGCGGTGGGGGGCAAGGGGAAGGAGAGCATTAGGACAAATACCTATATGCATGCAGGGCTTAAAATCTAGATGACGGGTTGATGGGTGCAGTAAACCACCATGGCACATGTATACCTATGTAACAAATCTGCACATTCTGCACACGTATCCCAGAACTTAAAGTATAATAAATGTAAAAGGATTTTTTTAAATGTTGCTTCCTGAGGGATTTTCACTTTTTACTACATTTTCTTGTTAGTTTGACAATGTTCTATGTCAATTTGCATATTCATCTTCTCTTTAGATGAGTGTTAGTATTTGGCTTGCCCAAAACATTTCTGAAGAGGTCAGATATTTTAAGGCCAAGACAAAAGTTAAATTTTTTTTTCCCATTGTGGCTGCATCATCATCTCTAAAAAAAAAAAACTCTCAGCCAAATGCATACAAATGAATTATATGACACACAGTAATTTTCAAGAAAAAAATTGAGTCAGGAATAACACTATGATGACACAATCATCCATGTAAGTCTCAAAAAACAGGAAAAACATTACATTGTTTTCCATTTTAACATCAGTTGGTAAATATTAATTCACTAACCTCAATATACAGAGAATTGAACTTGAATCACAGACTATGGCAATAGAAACATGTGTGCAAAAGAAATAGTTCTGACCAAAGAGGTAGGAAGACACTACATACCATGTCAGAATCTATGAATCTGAGAGTGACGAGCATTTGTTCAACAAACATTTCTGGAGCCAATGCTATATGTCAGGCACTGTTCTAGGTGCTAGGACAAGAGCAATGCACAAAACAGACAAAAACCACTGCACTTATGTTGCTCACATTCCCAGGTCATTCATTTTCATCCCAACTTAAGCTTGCTCACCCTAAAAATTTAGATGTATTTGGACGTGGAGTATGCTCTACTGGGCCATCCAGATCTCCAGATCCTCTTTCAAGAATGAAAGACTTGCTTCCTGAGCTGCTGGGAGTGCTGCTATCAACCCTCTCTGGAGATTTGAATTAGCTTAAAAACAAAAAAAAAGTGTTTCACCTAACATCAGACCACCTTCCAGGGCATCCCATACCCAAAGACTGATAAACTCAGAGACATAAAGGCCCAATCTCCTCACTACAACTTAGGACAAGGGGCATGTCAACTTCAGAGCAGTCTATGGCATCAGTAGAGATCTCTATTGGCTCTGTATTGGGATGCAACTTCCCCTCCTGCTTCCTTACTATCCTCAAGAATTGACCCTAAGAGCATTACCAAAAACATCCTCTAATAAGCTCCTGCATGCCTTTCTCTGTCTTAAAGTTGGCTTCCCAGGGAACCCAATCCGCAGCCATTGTCCTTAGGAGTGATAAAACAAACGTTAAGATAAGAATTTTCATGCGGATTGCCTGCCCACCTGCTGGCAATGTGCCATCTACCCCATGTCTGATGCTAGAGGCAGCACACATATCTCCTGGCACAAGATAATAGGATAATTGTTGACACTTTTCCAGTGGAAGGGAATGCATTGGTTGGATTTTGAGGGAAAATGCAGAAAGAGCAACCATGAGGACAGTGAAATAGGGTAGCTACTGCCACCTGCTGAAGCTCTAAAAAAAATAACAAAAAGTTGAGATGGATACATTGGCAATTAAAAGCTAAATATAAAAAGAGTGAGTACTTCCATGGTAACAAATAAAGAGGTTCTTGTCTCCTCAGCAGTAGGGCAGGAAAAGTTGTGAATCCCACCAAGGAACAGTCAGGTTTTATAGAAGATTAAACTCCCAACCAAGGAAGATCAGCTGTGCCACAGTCAGGGTCCTGATTTGAAAAGAATAGGAAGCTGACATACGGTATGGGGACATCTAAGTTAATGGATTCAAGTCTTGAACCATCAGACTTCCGTAAACTCTCTAAGCCTGCAGAATTGGCCCAATTTTCCCAGTTAAGGGCTAGCACTCTTTTTGCTTGAGGATCATTCACAGATCGCACCCACACAAAAGAACACATGCCCCCTCAGGATTTGCCCTCACTTTCCTTCCTGGTCACTTGACAAATAAATATGGTTAAGTCACAACATAACTCGGTTTGGAACATGCTAAAAGGAGAGGTACTTTAATCCTAAAGTAACTGTATGGTACACTTCTACCCAGAAAGATGTAAGTAGGAATCTGGGTGTCCCAGATCAAGGTGGGTAAAACAAATTTGAATAACAGTTTGATATAAGAGTAGTTTCTTATAATACAGCCTTTAATGCTCCGGCAAGGACCCTTGGAAATGATGAAAACATACTGCTAGGCTGACTCATACTAAATGAGAAATCCAAGAATTACTACCAGACAATGGAAGAAGGGATTGAAAGACTCAAGAAACGAATATGTCAAAATATACTATGAAAGGCCAGAAAATTCACCAGATTTCACAAGTGGGCTGGAGGATCTGCCATTTACTAAAACAGTAATGAGTGTCTAGTGAGAGGGGCAACAGCATTACTAAAGTTGTTTGTGGTGGCTCTCCTACATAGGCCAAGGCAGATGTAGAAATGAGCTCACTACTGACAGTGGGAAATTTAGGTCCTTGAAACAAGCAAGGCCATGTATCAGGACTTAACCAGGAGACTGGATGGATGAAAGCATTGGAATGAGTGTCAGCAAAAGGGAGCATGACCCATAGAGATGGTTAATAGAAAACAGCTTTGCTAGAGGCAAAGTAGATGGGCAAGCAATAAGGGCACTTAAGCTATACAATCAAAAGAAATCCAAGGTGGTTAATCAGGAGTCTGAAAGCTGCCATCTCAATGCAAAGTCACAATCCCTTTCTCAGCTTCTAGACCTAAGCTAGGTTTCAGAATCAGAACCCATGGATGGAAAAAGAAGTCAGGTTTCCAGGAGGAAGAACCCAGCAATACCATGGCAAGCATGCTGGGAATGATTCCTCCAGTCTCTTTTTAAAGAGACCTATACAATTGATTAGGAAACCGTGGAGTTGAAAAAGGGAAATTGAAACATGTTAAGGACTGTTGACAGAGTCTGAGTTGACAATGATACCTGAATACGCAAACAGTCTACATCCAATGATTGATCAACTGAGGCCTATAAAATTCCTACACCCCAACTCCGGAGAACCCTGAAAGGCCACCCCAGGCCAAGAGCTTCCCATGAGATTGGCTGAGAGCTTTTTGAGGACCGTGTTGCATCTCATCCTCTCTGCCCAATCCTACTTCCTTCCCTTCCTTTCATGGGGGTTGACAGCAAAGACATTTCATATAAAATATTCTGCAAGCTAATCTCATTTTCAGAGTCCACTTCCCAGGTTAACCAATCTGCAACATTGAGCAAGTCAGGGAAACTGGTGGAAATGAGAGGTCCTTTGTGCTGGATATCTTCCATATCTATTCTCCACTCTTCTTCCTGCTCTGTTCCCTTCTCTATGGACTCCATCATCCAAGCCCTTTGCCCACTGGCTTCTCAAGGGAGACCAACAGGAGACTGAAGGGTGAGAGAATAAAGCGATCAAAATACATATGGCCCAGGCTCCCTTACTGTCTTCTCACAGGTTGGGCCATGACTGCAATGCTCCACTGAAAACCTTGACTTTAAAAAGTGACCCTCTCCCAGGTTCAGAGGTATAGCTCTCTGCAGTTTCCCTGAATTGTCCCCCACTTCCTCACTCTTGTTTTGCTCTTTTGGATTTAAGAGTAGGAATGAACCTTGTCTATTGTGAACCCTGGAGAGTTTCATTGGCCTTTTTTGGTTTCCCTTAACTCTGCCCACAGTTTTGTAGAAGACTCCTTATTAAGTGTTCTTTAATTACCCTACCCAAGTACGCCATCTGTTTTCTGCTGTGTCCCTGATAAACACAGACCAGTAGAAGTTTACTTGTATGGAGATGCAAGCAGCCTTCTGAGAAATAAATCTTTCTAAGGAATGAGAGAGAGGGCACACAGCCTTAGCTGGAGGCATAAGGCTAACAGATAAGATTGTGGGCTTAGAAATCAGAAGTTCTGGGTTCAAATGTACAGCTGGTGAGTGACTTCACCTCTATTAAGTCTTACTTTACTCATCTATGTACTCGAGAAAACAGTGATACCTACCTGTGTCAGGATGCTTTCAGCTTCACGGAACAGAAAAACTGAACCAAATCGGCCAAAATGATCACATTTATCGCCGACAGCAGGAAATTAAGAGATTGTGAGAACTCTAGGTTGTAGCTGCATCACGGCTCCGGCACCATTTCGCTGCACTTCTCTTGTTTTACTTTCCTTTGTACAGTTTATCTTCAAACTAGCTTCCCTTACTGTTGGAAGAAGGCCATGAACAGCAATAACAGCAACGTGCTTCCTTTGTCTCCTCTGGTGTAGTGAATGTCTTTCACCCAAATCACGGAGTAAAAGCATTATCCTTCATTCTAATTGGTTCAACTTACTTTGCTTGTCCACGCCTGTACCAGTGAAAATTGCCCTGATTGGCTAAGGCCTGGGCACTGAGCCAATCGTTGGCAAGGAAGATGATATTACCATGATTAATTTAACTGATTAGGATCTAACCCTGGAGGTAAATGTAGGGTTCCCATCCTGAGTCTCACATGCTTCCTCGGGGGAAAGATAGATACGTTTCAGGTGAAGGGCTCAGGTGAATACCAGCCAGCATTACCAGGTGCTGAGTGGATCCTACAGGCAGAAGAGTCATCTAATGCACCTGTCCGTGTTCTCCAACATTCTGTAGACAGCAGGCTTGGAATGGTGTAGCTGTACGCAGAGGAGGGCTGTGCTCCAGGCAAAGGACACCATCTCCTGTCACTCTCCATTTTTGTGATTGAGTTTGGTCACCAACTTGTCTAAGTTGAGCCTCATAATTGTGATTTGTGCACTTTTCTATACATTTGCTTAGAAAGCATACATTCTTTATAAAAAATGTCCAACTTCACATTTTCTGTCAAATTACCACCCACCTTTCATTTCCTGTTCTAAGACAGGTTTATCAAAGAGAAATGTAGCACCCCATTTCTCCATCTTCCTCTCCTTCCTTAACGCACACTCAACAGGCTGCTCGCCCCACGGTTCCCCCATAATTGCTGAAGCTATGACCACCAACTGTTAAGCCAGTGGACCCATGTCAGTCTTCATTTTATTTGACCTCACAGCAGCCCTCCACACAGTTGACCTCTCTCTCGTTAGGTTTCTGTGACTCTATACTTCCTCAGCTTTCCTCCTACACCTCTCATCATTGCTTGGGATTCTTTGATTATGCATCCTCCTCTACACAGCTTCTAAATGTTGGAGATATATGCTAGTAGTTCTCAAACTTTAGCATGAATCAGAATCATCTGGGGAACTTGTTAACACTCAGATTGCTGGGCTGTGCTCCCACTTCTGATTCCAGTGAATCAGAAACGTGCATTTCTAATAAGTTCCCAGGTGACACTGCTGCTCTAGGGATCACACTTTAAGGACAACTTTCCCACCTGACTTTCTTCCAGACCCCAAATCTATATATTTGACAATACTACTTGGATATTTCTCAGGCTTTTCCATGCTACTTGTCCAAAACTGACATCATGAAATTGTACCCATATCTGCTTCTCTTCCAGTTGCCCATGGTCTTAATAAACTCAATTACTTACTGAGGCCACAGACTTGGGTGCCATCCTTGATTATTCCCTCTCCTTCACTCTTCATATAACTAGTTACTACCTCATGGCTCCTCTACCTCCTACTTATGTCTCAAATCCATCCCTTTTATCTCCACCAGCACTAAAACCTTATGCCTGGAAGGTGGCATAGCTTCCCAACTAGTCTCCCAGCATCTGTACACTGAACTGTTCTCCACATATCTGCCAGAGTGAGCTTATCTAACTCAAATTGGATCCCATCACGTTCTTATTTTAAACCTCTGCATAGTTTCCCAAATGCTCTTAGATAAATGCAAAGTCCACAGTACAGCCTATAGGCTGTGGGAGATTATCTCTAGCCTCATCTCATGCCTCTCTCCATTAGGCACTGACTGTCCTGGGCCCACCCTGTTTCTCACATGTACTCAATTCCTCCCTCCTGGGGCCCTGTGTGCATGGCTTTCCTTCCTGCCCGACTCTCTTGCCCTTCTGCCGTCACCTCATTAACTTCTGGTCATTCTTGGCTTCCCAACCTGCGTTGTTTTAAATTCTGTAGGTATTTAAATTCCACAAGGATTTAAAACACCTGTACTTGTTCTTCATGATTCTTGTCAAAAATATTTTTGGTAATTAAATGGCATTTCATTTGGTTCTGAACTATGAAAAAGCAGCAGCCCTGTCTGTCTTGCTTGTAGTATACCCCAACTATAGTTAGCACTCAATAAATAATTTTGAAAAAAGAATGAATGAATGTGTTTGAGAGCACAAAGGAAAAACCTACTGTCTCTGGACTTAGAGGTGCTCTGCAGAAGATGAGACATGTGAGTTGAATTGAGTCTTAAAAGATGCACAGTAGTTTGCCAGGTGAACAAAGTCTCTGTAGAATTTTCTCATAGTGATCAGCCCAAAAGAGTGACAAGATTCCTACCTATGTCTCTCAAAAGTGTTTCTTCAGTGCTATAAGGAGGCTTTGGGCTGCCTGAAGGGTGGCCACTCATCCAGAAGCTTTTGTGTTCAGATTCAAATCCTGTTCCGTTTATGCAGGAGAGAGACTGGGTACAGGAAGAGAGGTGAGTGAGAGGTTTGCAGGACACACCACCAGACCTGTCCTCAGAACAGTGAATATTCCCATGCCCACAAATCAGAAAGAACCCAGGGATAGAAAATCCACTGGAGAGTCATGGGATGAGGAGGGAAAGTGAGGGTATCCCCCTGCCAGGTTGACCTGAGAAATTGAGAGTAAGTGTGCAAGGGTAAGGGACAAGACAAGAACTTCATCTATGGGGGTTTATTTTCATCTTTTCAAGCTTCAAGATCTGCAACATCCTGCACCCTTGTAAATAGTTACCACTTTCCTAAGATTAATGTCACAAAGGGCGAACGCCAGGGTAGGACTCGTTGATTCTTGGCCTTGAATAAATAATGCCTTTTAGACGAAAGTTATGTGACTACTGTATCCCCATTGTTGTCTCTCTTCTAAGTTTTAGTAGATCCACAGGTAATTGGGAAAACGATTGTTATGCATCTGTTCCACGGCAGAGCAGGCTTTTAAACTAATGAAACATCGCCATCTAGAGTAGAATGGCTTGTGCTGCAGCAAGTCACCCAGAAAGAGAACCTGACCACAGAATCCTAGAATCACACAATTGCACGTTGGAAAGTGGTTCTCTGGAGTAATGTGGAAAACTTTACCATTTTGGGTCCCTTTTGAGCTGGCAATGCCCCCTTTCAGGAATGTATTCAATGAAATTTATTCCCAAACTGGAATCAACAAACCACTAGAAAGCATGAGACATTACAGACCTGTAAATTCTAAAGTTTGTGAAATGATGGATGTATTCAAAATTAATTAATGGATGCACAAACAGATTTATACATTTCTTATCAGAGAGATATTTGTAACGGCAAAAATCTGAACTAATAATCATGTTCAACAATGGAGAACTTGTTGAATGGATTGTGTAACATTTTATAATCACCAAAAATAGTATTGTAGAAGAATATTTAATGACTTAGAAAGTTGTCACCACAAATATATAAAGTGATTGTGTGTGTGTGCATGTGTGAGTGTGTGTGTGTAAAAGCCAGGTTTTACAAAAAAAAAAAAAAAAAAAAAGGCCAGTATGTCCACTATCATTTTGCTTTAGGAAGGGAAAGAGAAAAAGAAGAGAAAGAGGAGGGGAAATATATATATCAAAATACAGATAGTGATTGAGTGGTGGATTAAAAGTCATTTCTAGGCCGGGCGCGGTGGCTCACGCCTGTACTTCTGCCACTTTGGGAGGCTGAGGCGGGCTGATCACCTGAGGTTGGGAGTTCAAGACCAGCCTGACCAACATGGAGAAACCCTATCTCTACTAAAAATACAAAATTAGCCGGGTGTGGTGGTGCATGCCTGTAATCCCAGCTACTCGGGAGGCTGAGGCAGGAGAATCACTTGAACCCAGGAGGCGGAGGTTGCAGTGAGCTGAGATCGCGCCCTTGTACTCCAGCCTGGGCAACAAGAGCGAAACTCCATCTCAAAAAAAAAAAAAGTCATTTCTATATTCTTCTTTTTTCTACCCTATATTTTTTAGGTTTTCCACCATAAACATCATGTTATTATTGAATTGTGTTTTTCTAACAGAAATAAACACAGTAATATAACAAAGAGTTTATAAAGACAAACCACTCCACTGCAGCTCTAAGCACTCACCTGCACCCAAAATAATACCACAGTGGGGAGAATTCAATCTCAGTCATCAGTGGGGGCACACACACATGTGCACACATGCACACACACACGCACACACATGCACACATACACATACATACACACACATACTCACACAGCTGTGGCAAAGCAGTCCCAGGACCTTAGGTAGTGGCAACAGGCAGGGAGGCCTCCTCTGGTTTAGGAAAGAAGAGCCCTGTTTCAGCTTGGTTTACCCTCTTCAGATCTAGCTGTTTCAGGGAATGGAAATATTTTATATAGCCAAAGCTCCCAAAAGCTGCTGTCCTGCCTCCCACAACCGTCTAAGCACTGTATACCTGCCTGCTCTTTTCTGGGCTGCATAGACCTCTACTCCCCTTCCAAGTCCAAAGGAAATCTTTCCTCCCCAATTTTTTGAAAACTTGTCCACCATTGTATTCCACTGAATACCTGGAATGGAGATTTTCATTCTCTCTTATATTCACGTCAGACATATTGATCAGTCAGCATACAAATGAAAGTTTAGTGCTCGGCAATTCCTGGGACATGAACTTAACGTGTAGGTAGGACAGCCGTTCTAACTGGGAGGGAACTGGTTAACGAAAGTAAGCCCTTTCCAGCACTACAGCAACATCCTCAGTGCCAGCAGGGAAAACATCAAAGAGGTCAATAAGACAACCCAGGTGGATAAAGGAATTGACTGGATCACATCAGGCCTCAAACACTAGAGGAGAGGGGGAAGAAAAAAAAATTTTGTTCCCCTTTATTTTGTTCCAAATTTTGCCCAAATTTTTGTTCCCCTTTATTCTTATCATTGGTGCTTTCTGTCCTTCTTGATGGTGTCATTTTAATGTTTAACACCACACTTAGTCACATTCCATATTCCCTTTTGTATTATAAAGGTTGCCAGTCTTCTTTTTACCGGCCATGGAATTGTTCAATTTCCCATTCTTGCAATATAGCCTGTCGGGGATCTTAACATTTGCTTTGTCTATGGATGTTGCATGTTGGGAAAGCCACTCTCAGCTCTGAGCAGTAATTTCAGCATCTAGAGTCCTGAAGGAAGCCATCAAGTATTAATTGACCATGATTAGATGTTGTATACTACTAGAGCTGAGAAGAAGATAGAAGTCACTGACGATGAGCTTCCTGAGTACAAACACTGCTAAGGGAGTGAAGGCTGCAATTATAAACTGCAACACAGATCAAGTTACCATGAAGTTACCAACTTTTTACATGGCAACAGGAGGGAGGCCTTTTTACAAATTTTTAAAATTTTAATAATTTGTAAAGACTATTTTTAAGTATCACAGCATCTACCACTGCCACAATTTCATAGTTACCAAAAATACCAGGATATTAAATTGAGACATGCTAATCAGCTGCTCCTATTCATTTATTCAACAAATACGTATTGAGTGCTTACTAAGAGCAAGGCTTGTAGCTTGGCATTGAAGAACGAAACAAACATTGTCTCTGTGATCCTGGGGTTTATAGTTTATTGGGGGAAACTTGCCTTTAGAATGCAGAACGATAAGAGTTATAATACACATGGTTTCCAAGTATGCACTTCTGCAACAACCCCTGATTTTTGTCTGGGATCCCTTCCACTGCACTTACAGTCCAAGTCCAAGGGTAGGACACAACACCCAAAGCTAAGCCAGTCAGTTCGTTTTGCTCATCTGTGTTTAGGAATCGGTTCTGGGTTGGGTTTATGACCCAAGGAAAGCCAATCAGACCTAATAAGGACACAATTCCCAACCCTCAGTTTGAGCTATCAGAGATTAGGAATCTTTCTTTTCCCACTAGACAGACAGAAAATGTGCAGTTGGAACCCCATTGCAAGAGGGCAGACAGTAGAGGCAGGAGCAGAACCAGGGAGGCTGGCAGAGAGGAAAACTGGCACCCAAGGGATGGTCCAAGCCTCCATTCATTTCATTTAAAGTAGCTATAATTCTAGAACTTCTATGTCCCTTGAGCCAATATTTTCCCTATTTGGGTTGTGTTTCTGACACTAACAACTGAAAATGTGTAGATTGATAGGTAAAGCCCAGTACAGCATAGGATTCAGCCACTAAAAAAAGTTTTCCTAAAGAAATGTCCTATCAACTTAGAACACATATTAAAAGAGTTCACCAGAGAACCCTGGCTATTGCCACACATTGTGCACTGCCTGCAATGGTTTTATCCGTATTGCTCTTAGGACGTGATTATTATGCACTTTCCTGACTTTCAGATGGAAAAGAAAATGTTGCCAATCCCCTGAACAACCCAGTCATTCTTAATGAGAGGGACAATATGAAGAAGGCTGTGTGGTAAAGAAGGAAAACAAAAAAGACACAAAATAAATCGAAGCCAGTCACACTTAAAAGTTGGGTACACCAGACTCCCACTGTAGATTCAGAATAAATAGCAGACAGGAAGAACAGACAGACAGACACACTCCTGCCACACATATGCACATATCAACATACTGCAATGATGCTTTAATAATGCCAACTAATTATGCCATCTTTCATAGAGAGAGACAGTAATTGTGTTTCTCGAGTGTGGTGACGTAAGCATTTTCAGATTCTACAATGTAACCATTTTGAAGAATAAGTTGAGAGTATCTATCCAGAGTCTTATAAATGTATTTGACTTTAAAATTCCACTTTTATAAACCTATCATGAGAAAACTGAAAAGGCTTTATGTATGATATTGATAAAAGTACTATCTGTAATACCAAAAAATTAAAATCATTTAAATTTCCAACAAAAATATAACATTATTTTCCCTCTAATTGAATAAATATTTACACCAAAGGATGTTTTTCAAAAGCCAGTAATGACAGGAGAATTTTTGTTGTAATGTTAAGTGAAAAGAACTGGATACAAATTTGCATGTATGCCATCATCTTGACCCTGGGAAAACAAACTATGTTCATTTTAATTTATAGGAACAAATGAGAAATTGATTACATGCATTTCCCAGTGAGATTAATCTTAACTGTTCTGGTATGATCAAAGTAGTCAGCTCAATTTTCCCCGAGTCCTTATCTGGATATTCAATGTGGTCAGCTGTCATGGGTGGTTTTGTTACGTCAGGAGACTTGATAGCCAAGACTGATAAACTAAACAGACAGTTATACCAGATTTGGGCTGGGCTGCCCACCACTGAGCTGAGCAGTTGTTAATATTGACACAATTTCTGTTAACAATGTGATCACATGCACTGCTGTACTTAAAGTGTAGTTTATATGTCACATCCTCATTTTTTCCCTTTTTTGTTAGTGTGCATTATAGATATGTGTTACCCAAAACTACATCAATTATACATACAAGCAAAAGTTACAATAACCTTATTTTAAAATACATTTTCTTTCTTCTGGGATATGAAAAATGGATTCACTTGGTAAATAGCCCTGATATCTGATTCATACATAAAAAAATGACTATTTTCTGTCAAGAAAACTGTTCCAGAATGTAAAACTAAACAAACAGACAGGCAATCCAGTTCCCTCATGTACAACGAGCCATTAGTAAAAGATGTATTCCCTTAAGTGACCTCAGAGGATGTTCTGCTACACCCAGGAAAGTGGGAAGGGGATAATCAAGTGGAGAGTACAATTCACAAAGATAATCATTTTCATCTGATGGAGGAAAAATAACATAGGCGTCTACTATAAAAGCTTATTTTAAAAGACAAATCACAGGAAAAATAATGGAAAAGCCTAAAAATCTCTTATAAATGCCTGCCTGAATTCAGTGACCAAAAGCTCGAATTTAAAGACCCTCAGGGAATTTCTGTGGACATCTGCACTGATGATGAGAGGAATAATCTCCAGTGCTCACCTATTCCTCATCGGCTGTGTTGTTTGTGTGTGTGTGTGTGTGTGTGTGTGTGTGTGTGTGTTTCTCACGCACAAATCAGAGCTAGTTACCACAAAACCGAGAGAGTGTAGAATCAGTCATTAAGTTGGTCCCAGAAACCATGGTGGCTGGGGTCTCAAATGTGACAAGATTTACAAGATCTAAGATCTGGCATTTTACTCAGCAAAATACAGCACCCTTGGGGATGTTTAGAATCTTTCCATTTATCTACAAGGCATTTCTACTTCAGTGTCTCTCCACCCACATGTACCCCACGGAAGAAGCTTAATAATAGTTCACGATATGTATGTATATATTAGAAAATGCCTGGCAAATATTAAGTTCTACATAAATGTTACTTAATCATCTGCATTATATATATATATTCAATTTAATCCTTATAATTCTATGAAGCAAGTACTATCATTCTCATTTTATACATAAGGAAACTGAGGCTCAGGGTGACTAAATAAGTTTTCCATTTTATGATTAGTAAATAGAAGAGCAGAGATTTCAACCAGGGGTCCTTGAGACTATACTGATGAATGTATCAATGAGCAATGAAGAAACAATAGGCTCTAACACCTAACACCAATCTTTGTGTGCCTCGGCTACTGCTCTAAATGACTAGTTTCTTTTGCTTTTTTCTTTTTTTTTTTAACTGTATTGGTTTTTGTTCATTTTTTAATTGTTGTATTGAGTTTTTAATTTTTATTTTTATTTCAATAGTTTTGGGTGTACAGGTGGTTTTTTGTTACATGGATATGTTCTTTAGTGGTGATTTCTGAGATTTTGGTGCACCCATCACCCGAGCAGTGTACACTGTCCCCAGTATGTAGTCTTTTATCCCTTGCCCCTCCACCCGCTTCCCTGCCACCTAGTCCCCAAAGCCCATTAGATTATTCTTATGCCTCTGCATCCTCATAGCTTAGCTCCCACTTATAAGTGAGAATATATAATTCAAACGACTAGTTTCTCTATCACTTATTATTTTCAAGCCCTTGTCTGGGGCTCTGAATTCTACCACCTACTCTCCCTGACTACGGAGCAACTCCTGTGCCTACACTTATGACATATGCAAAGCTCCTTCTGTGCTGACATCCCAGACTCTGTCCCCATCTTCCCAGCCCAGGCTTCCTGGGACATGTTCATCTCTTTGGTAACATACTGATCATTGGCTCCACACCTCTTTGTTTCATGTTTCTCTCTCTTCGGCTACCATTTATTGTACACAATGTTATTCCCTTAATATAATTGATTGAGTAACTCTTCCTCTGTGAAGCCACCTTTATTATATGTGTGTGTGTACATATATATGTGTTTGTTTATTTACTGTTATTAGATCCCGTTACTCTCAGCTCCTGTGGCATCCTATTTTTAATTACTATGGCTTTATAATAATGTTCGGTGATTGGTTCAGCAAATATTTTCTCCTTGCTCTCTCTCTTCACAATTTTATTATCCGGCTGATCATGGTGCCTCATGCCTGTAATCCCAGCACTTTGGGAGGCCGGGTTGGGTGGATGACGAGGTCAAGAGATCAAGGCCATCCTGGCCAACATGGTGAAACCCCGTCTCTACTAAAAATACAAAAAATACTGGGCATGGTGGTGCACGCCTGTAGTCCCAGCTACTCAGGAGGCCGAGGCAGGAGAATCGCTTTAACCTGGGAGGCGGAGGTTGCAGCGAGCCGAGATCACGCCCCTGCACTCCGGCCTGGTGACAGAGCAAGACTCCATCCCCCCCAAAAAAATAAATAAATTCATCCCCATAGCTTTGTTCATTTAGAAGGTCAGAATGACACCAGAATCATATTGCTGAAAGGTTTTTTAAAGGAGGTTTTATTAGAATTTCATTAAACATATACATTAGCCTGGAAAAAATGATATGTTTATGGTAGTCACACTCCCCATATAAAAATATGGTTCATCTCTCTCAGGTGTCCTGTTGTGTTAGGGTAAATCCATGAAATAGGATACCCTGAATGACTGTTATATCAAATATTTATTTGTACTTTTATTGCATTCTGAATGGTATCCTTATTTCATTATTCTTTTTCCTAGCTGATAGTTACTACTTAATAGAAAAGCTTTTATTCCTCTACTTTTAAATCCGTCACTTAATTAAAGTTTCTTATTATAGCTAATGGTTTTTTAATGGATTTTTTGTGTTGTGTCCATGGGAATAATACTATCTAAAACTAATAACGTCTACATTTTCTGTACCCATACCTAGAAATTCCAGGGCAACAGTAAATAAAAGTAGTCATAGTGGGCATGCTTAGTGCACTACTAATTATGGAGGACATGTTTCCGTTATTTCATTATTAAGTACATAATGTAGAATTGGAAACATAGAATGATATTCATTATCTTGTTAAAAACATCTTACACTTCTAGTTTACTGAGAGATTGGTTTTTATCAGAAACTGGAAATATTTCATGTTCTTCCTTTATTAAGATAATATGCCTTATTTCTAGCTTTTTTAGTTGAAACATCCTTATATCTCCAAAATAAAACTCATTTGGTCTTGATACATTAGTCTCTTAATTTACTGCTGAATTTAGTATTTGACAACTGCATGTATAGAATTTGTTCTGTTTTTCCTGTCTATGTTATATTTGACTGGATTTGTTGTCAGAATTTCCCTAAATTTAAAAATAAACTGGAGTTATTATAAAGTCAAAAACAACAGATGATGGTGAGGCTGTGGAGAAAAGGGAACACTTATATGCCATTAGTAGGAATGTAAATTAGTTCAGCCACTGTGGAAAGCAGTTTGGAGATGTCTCAAAGAACTTAAAACAGAGCTACCATTTAACCCAGCAATCCCATTACTAGGTATATACCCAAAGGAAAATAGATAATTATACCAAAAACAGACATGCACTTATAGTAGTAGTTCCACACTTCACAATAGCAAAGACATGGCATCAACCTAGGTGCCTATCAATGGTGGATTGGATAAAGAAAATGTGGTACATAGGCACCAGGGAGTACTATGCAGCCATACAAAGAATGAACTTGTGTCCTCTGCAGCAACATGGATGTAGCTGGAGGCCATTATCCTAAGCAAATTAACATTGGCACAGAAAACTAAATGCCGCATATTCTCACTTATAAGTGGGAGCTGAACATTGAGCACCCATGGACATAAATATGGGAACGCTGCATACTACTAGACAGGGGAGGGAGGAAGCAAGGGTCAAAAACTACCTATTGGATACTCTGCTCACTACCAGGGTGCAATATACCTATGAAACAAACCTACACATGTACCCTCTGTATCTAAAAGTTGAAAACAATAAAAATACAAACTACAAATGAATGGAAAGCTTTTTATCTTTTTCTACACTATTTAACAGTTGATATACTATGTCTTCAATGCTTGAAATAATTCAAATTGGTAAGAATATCTAGCCCCACCAATTTTTTTGTAATTAATACTTTGATAATTTTTAAAGTTTTTGCTTCTTCAGCTTATCAATTTCACCTCCATTTCATTTTGGTTATTTATAATTTCTCCAAAAAAATTATTTCACTGAGATTTTCAGGTTTATGGGCATAAAGAACGCTGTACATACCTTTTACTTGTAATTTTGAAAATCAACCATTTATAGAATTACTGTTTTTCTCTATTTTTCTTAATCCAACTTAGCAAAGGTTTTTCTACCTATTTTATACTTTTTTAAAAGAATGAACTCCTGAATTTATTTACCAATGCTGTGAATTTTTCTGTATTATAATTTATTAACTTCTAAATTTATATTCAGTATACTTCTGCTTTTTCCATGTTTATTTTGCTATAATATTTCCAACTTTTAAACTGAATGCCTTGTTTGTTGTCATTTGTTCTTTTTAAATAGTAAAAATATATACAGCTATAAATTTTTATCTGAGACTATTTCACCACAGCACAAAACTTTTGATATATAGTGTGCTTATTCTTTTCAAATAGTCTGTACATTTTTCCTCTGATACAATCCTTTGCTTTTATTATGTCAAGTTTATATTGGCTAATTCAACCATAGTGTCTGGTATCTTATACTTTCATATTTCATATTTTTAAAATTTTTATTATTTGTATTATCTAAATGGACTTTATTTCCTTTACTTTTATCTTATTTAGTGAAAACTTTCAAAGCTACTATAACTCTGATACCAAAGCATTTTTTTTTCTTCAGACAGATTCTCGCTCTGTCGCCCAGGCTGATGTACTAGTGGTGCGATCTCGGCTCACTGCAACCTCTGCCTACCGGGTTCAAGCGATTCTCCTGTCTCAGCCTCCCGAATAGCTGGGATTACAGGTGCCCGCCACTGCGCCTGGTTCATTTTTGTATTTTTAGTAGAGACGGGGTTTCACCATATTGGTCAGGCTGGTCTCGAACTCCTGACCTCAGGTAATCCACTCGCCTCGGCCTCCCAAAGTGCTGGGATTACAGGCAAGAGCCACCGTGTCCGGCCCTAAAGCACTTTTTAAAAAGACCATGTCATTATAGAGAAATGAAATTCCTAATTAAGACTCAACAAATCAAATTCAAAAAGGAAATAAAAATACATTACAACCAAATAACATTTAGTGTAGGAATGTAAGGATTGTTCAACTTAGAAAATCTGTTAAATAAAAAGATGAAAAATAAACAAAGCTTCTTGTCAATAGATGCCAAAAAAAATAACTTAATGAAATTCCATGTACTTACCTAATGAAAACCTTCAACAAGCTAACAATTGAAAAAAAATTCCTAAATCTAATAAAAGCCATCTTTAAGAAACCTACAAGAAAACTTTACACTTAATCATGAAATATTAAAAGTAACTTAACTAAATAACAAGACAAGGCTGTCCATTATTGCCATTATTAGTTAACATTACATTGCAGGTTCAAAGAAAAATACATGAACAAAAGTTAAAATGATCAGAATAAAAGCAGTAAAACAGCTATTTTTAAAAATAATCTTTTTACCTAGGTAAACCAGATAAATCAGTTGGAAAACTATTAGGATAAGATGGCTAAATAAGATCAACAACAACAACAAATCAACAGATTTTTCTATAACAACAATAATAGATTAGCAAATTTAATTTTTAAAAAATCCAGTTCACTGCAGCAACAAAGCCCATGAAATGAGAATAAGGCGAACTCAAATGTGAAAAGCCTTAGAGAAGCTGTAAAACTCCTCCAGAGGACAAGAAAAACTCAAATTAACAGAGAGACATAGTATATCTCAATATGGAAAGATTTAATATTGTAAAAATGTAACTTCTTCCCTATTAGTCTAAACTGATTATTGGACTTGGCAGCCAATTCTAAAGTTCATGAACAAGAACATATAGGACAACTTTTAGAAATGTGAAAAGCAACAAGTGGTGACTTACTGTACATGATATAAAAATTTTCTTCAAACTATTGTAATTTAAATGATGCAGCAATGGCACAAGAATAGGCAAACGTATCATTGGCACAGAGTTAAGATTTCAGGAACAGACCCGCATATATGGTGGGAATTTAATTCAAGGTAAAGTTTGTATTTCAAATGCTAGGACAGAATGCCTTGAGAGACTTCTGAATGAAGACCACAGAATAAGCAGATGAAGAAAAGCTCACCACCACTACACACCCGACTCCCAGAAATTAGAATTGCCATGTCTGCAGGGGAAAGAAGGCTAATTCTACATAGCTCAGCAGAGAAGCAGAAAAGGAAAATCTCCTGGTGCCAGAAATAAAAAACCTACATTACCGACTAGGAGTTGAAGTTCTATGGCCCAGAGAAAAAAATTGTATTTGATATATGCTTAGAAATTTATATTTTATTATTTATTACTGCATTATATCAAAAATCCAGATAGGGTAGTCCTGTTGGGAACATATTGCCAGCCAACACAAGAATGCAACCCAAAAGCCTTATGGTTATTGGCAGGAATAGAATTGACCTAGAAACCCTTTCATCTATAGCATCTCACCTCCAGCAAGGAAGATGTGAAAGAAACTAGGCTTGTGGGCACTGTACTACTGCAATGAAATCGTTTATCTTATTCTTGACTGGACTCAAAAAATTTCTGACCTGGGTACACGTCTTCAGAGCTTCTTGGTCCTCCAGTTTGAGTGATAGGTCTAGTTCTGATAATGGTGATAATGTTGATAAGGATAAGAAGCCAGAGCAGCAATTCTCTATTCCTCGTCCCTGAGGTTCTCATAATTATAGTTCATCCCTAACACGCCATCATCATCACCATCCTAAAGCACTCTGATTATATGTTCATAAATAACTATAAGGTTGTCTTCAAAATCAATTACAGAAACCTCAGTACAAAGTACCCAAATGACACTAACCTTAACCGCCTCTATGAGACGAAAACCTTGTAGTCACTCTTCAGTTTCCCTTGACTGTCTCCTTCCTTCCAAAGATGCTGCCTGACTCCAAAAGCTTATCCATACCAAATGGCATCTCTACTTCTAGACTAAGATGAAATGACACGCTGCCGGTACGGTATCTAAACTTCCTAAGTAGCAAAGGAGGATGAATGCGGGAACCACAGGTGAACTCGGCCAATGGAAACCAGGAAATGGGAAGGAGGTGGGCCAATACATTCCCCCCTCCTTTCTCCCTCTCATGAATTACTCCAGAATTTAGCTCTTCCTCCCTGGCCTCTGAGACAATATTTGAGTGCCAAGCGAACACTTCCACCATGTGACCTCGCATATCTCCTCTGACTCTTCAAGAAGGGGTCTCCACTGCTTCTCCTTGCCTCTTCCCTTGCCTCACTCCACTTTTTCCTCAATCTCACTGCGCTTGTCTTGTGTTTCTCCAATGAAAAAGACTTTTAATCCTTAACTCAGCCTCTGCTTTTTAGAAAGACCAGTTAAAGGCCCAGCCTAGTTAGCAAGACTGGGTGTGCCATCCCTTATTTCTCAAATTGGATAATACTCTGAATATTGAACAGACAGAATTCCAAATCAATCCCCATATTCATCTCCCTCTCCCCATATATGCTGCAGTAACAACTACTGGGAAATTCTGTCAAAGCAATTGGCTATAGCAGAGTTTACTAATGAATAAGACGCCAAATAGGTTGGTTAAATGTCACCTTCATCATAGTAAACACATTTTTTTGCTGTTTGTTGTGCTGAGTTATCTGATTCTCAATAATGCCCATGCTGCTTTTGCCACGTCAAGACCAAGTGCAGCACGCAGCTTATAGGTTGGTGCCTCACTAACTTGGAAGTCATGCTCAATTATCAGTCAGCCTCCCACTATCACTCCCCTGGGAGATGTTATCAAAGTTACTGATAGCTATGTACATATAAGCAATACCTCACCTGTCACTGAGGACTCATCTGAACCTGATGCCATTTTTCGCTGGTACAAAAGTGAAGTGATGAAGAAAGAAGAGTTTTCTGAGGCATATTAAGATATAAAAGCTCTAGGAAGGTTTTTGAGATGGCTGAAGCCCATAGAACTAAGAGAAGATGAGGATCTGTCATTTAACTTGTCTTCTACTAGCTTTGATACTCCATTGTCTTGAATGAGTCATATATCCATTCTCTTAACTATCCACAGCGATTCTTAAACGTTGTTTCCAAAAACAATTTTAAAGAATAATACAAGTTTGGGAGGCCGAGGCGGGCGGATCACCTGAGGTTGGGAGTTCAAGACCAACCTGACCAACATGGGGAAACCCCGTCTCTACTAAAAATACAAAATTAGCCAGGTGTGGTGGCACATGCCTGTAGTCCCAGCTACTCAGGAGGCTGAGGCAGGAGAAGCGCTTGAACCTGGGAGGCAGAGGTTGTGGTGAGCCGAGGTCGCACCATTGCACTCCAGCCTGGGAAACAAGAGCAAAACTCTGTCTTAAAAAATAATAATAATAGTAATAATATTAATAATAATTTAAAAAAAAAATAATACAGAGCTAGAGTCTTTGCTTTAAACATTGTTTATTAACAGTTTATATTTTCTTTTTTAAGAATAATTTTTAAAGGTGGAAGAATGGGAGTGGGGGTGAGGAATGAAATACTAACTAAGGGTACAATATATACCACTTGGATGATGAGTACATTAACAGCCCAGACTTCACCACTACATATCAGTATACAAAACTACATTTGTACCCCAATTCTATTTTTTAAATTTAAATTTAAAAATATTTTTTATATTTTTATTCAGTCTTATAACCATATTTCTGCCATTCATTTATACTTTTGTGTTTAACTAATTTCAGTATTCATTGCCGATTTTATTTGCATTTTTTTTCATAAGTTATTTGGGTACAGGTGGTATTTGGTTACATGAGTAAGTTCTTTAGGGGTTATTTGTGAGATATTGGTGCACCCATTACCCAAGGAGTATACACTGCACCATATTTATTGTCTTTTAACCCTCGCCCCCTCCCATTCTTCCCTCCAAATCCCCAAAGTTCATTGTATCATTCTTATGCCTTTGCACCTTTATAGCTTAGCTCCCACATATCAGTGAGAACATACAACGTTTGGTTTTCCATTCCTGAGTTATATCACGTAGAATAATAGTCTCCAATCTCCTCCAGGTCACTGCAAATGCTGTTAATTCATTCACTTTTATCGCTGCATAGTATTCCATAGTATATATTATATATATATATATATATACACACACAACAGTTTATTTATCCACTCGCTGATTGATGGGCATTTGGGTTGGTTCCACGATTTTGCAATTGTGAACTGTGCTGCTATAAACATGCGTGTGCAAATATCTTTTTCAAATAATGACTTCTTTTCCTCTGGACAGATACCCAGTAGTAAGATTGCTGGATGAAATGGTAATTCCACTTTTAGTTCTTTAAGGAATCTCCACACCGTTTTCCATAGTGGCTGTACTAGTTTACATTCCCACCAGCAGTGTAGAAGTGTTCCCTATTCACCACATCCATGCCAGCATCTACTGTTTTTTGATTTTTTGATTATGACCATTCTCGCAGAAGTAAGGTGGTATCACATTGTGGTTTTGATTTGCATTTCTCTCATCGTTAGTGATGTTGAGCATTATTTTCATATGCTTGTTGGCCATATGTATATCTTCTTTTGAGAATTGTCTATTCATGTTCTTAGCCCACTTTTTGATGGGATTGTTTGTTTTTTTTTCTTACTAATTTGAGTTCGTTGTAGATTCTGGATATTAGTCTTTTGTCAGATGTATAGATTGTGAAGATTTTCTCCCACTCTGTGGGTTATTCCTGTTATTCCTGGGTTATTCTGACTGTTCCTTTTGCTGTGCAAAAGCTCTTTAGTTTAATTAGGCCCTGGCTATTTATCTTGGTTTTTATTGCATTTGCTTTTGGGTTCTTGGTCATGAAATCCTTGCCGAAGCCAATGTCTACAAGGGTTTTTCCAATGTTATCTTGTAGAATTTTTGTAGTTTCAGGTCTTCGGTTTAAGTCCTTAATCTATCTTGAGTTGATTTTTGTATAAGGTGAGAGATGAGGATCCAGTTTCATTCTCCTATGTGTGGCTAGTCAACTATCCCAGAACCATTTGTTGAAAAGGGTTCCCTTTCCCCACTTTATGCTTTTGTTTGCTTTGTCGAAGATCAGTTGGCTGTAAGCACTGGATTTATTTCTGGGTTCTCTATTCTGTTCCATTGGTCTATGTGCCTATTTTTATACCAGTACCATGCTGTTTTGATGATTATGGCCTTATGGTATAGTTTGAAATCAGGTAGTGTGATGCCTCCAGATTTGTTCTTTTTGCTTAGTCTTGCTTTGGCTATGTGAGCTCTTTTTTGGTTCCATATGAATTTTAGAATTGTTTTTTTCTAATTCTGTGAAGAATGATGATGGCATTCTGACAGGGACTGCATTGAATTTGTAGACTGCTTTAGCAGTATGGTCATTTTCACAATATTGATTCTACCCATCCATGAGCATGAGATGTGTTTCCATTTGTTTGTGTCATCTATGGTTTCTTTCAGTAGTGTTTTGTAGTTTTCCTTGCAGAGGTCTTTTGACTCCTTTGTTAGGTATAGTCCTAAGTACTTTTTTTACAACTATTGTAAAACGGGTTGAGTTCTTGATTTGGTCTCTGCTTGGTTGCTGTTGGTGTATAGAGGAGCTAGTGATTTGTGTACATTGATCTTGTATCTGGAAACTTTGCTGAATTCTTTTATCAGTTCTAGGAGCTTTCTAGAGGAGTCCTTAGAGTTTTCAAGGTAAACAATCATATTGTCAGCAAACAGTGATAGTTTGACTTCCTCTTTACCAATTTGGATGCCCTTTATTTCTTTCTCTTGTCTGATTGCTCTGGCTAGGAGTTCCAGTACTATGTTGAAGAGGAGTGGTGAGAGTGGGCATCCTTGTCTCGTTCAGCTCTCAGAGGGAATGCTTTCAACTTTTCTCCATGCAGTATTATGTTGGCTGTGGTTTTTAATAGATGGTTTTTATTACCTTAAGATATGTCCCTTGTATGCCGATTTTGCTGAGAGTTTTAATCATCAAGCAACACTGGATTTTGTCAAATGCTTTTTCTGCATCTATTGAGATGATAATGTGATTTTTGCTTTTGATTCTGTTTATGTGGTATATCACATTTATTGACTTGCATATGTTAAACCATCCCTGCATTCCTGGTATGAAATCCACTCGATCATGGTGGATGATCTTTTTGATATTATCTTGTTGGGTTTGGTTAGCTAGTATTTTGTTAAGGATTTTAGCATCTACATTCATCAAGGATATCGGTCTGTAGTTTTATTTTTTGGTTGTGTCCTTTCCTGGTTTGGGTATTAGGGTGGCTTCATAGAATGAATTAGGGAGGGTTTCTTCTTTCTCTATCTTGTGGAATAGTGTCAAAAGGATTGGTACCAATTCTTCTTTGAATGTCTGGTAGAATTCTGCTGTGAATCCATCTGGTCCTGGACTTTTTTGTGTTGGTAATTTTTAAATTACCATTTCAATCTCACTGCTTGTTATTGGTCTGTTCGTGGTATCTCATTCTTCCTGAATTAAGCTAGGAAGGTTGTATTTTTCCAAGAATTTATCCATCTCTTCTAGATATTCTAGTTTATGTGCATAAAGGTGTTCATGGTAGCCTTGAATGATCTTTTGTATTTCAATGGGGTCAGTTGTAATATCTCCCCTTTTGTTTCTTAGTGAGATTATTTGCAGGTACCATTGCTTTCATCATGTTCTTTGTTGCCTGTGTACACTGATTTTTTTTGTTTTTTTTTTAACTTGTATTTTTGTTTTATAGGTCCTGTGTGATTTTTGCTTTAAAGAGGTTCTGTTTGATGTGTTTCCAGGATTTGTTTCAAGATTTAGAGCTCCTTTTAGAAGTCCTTGTAGTGGTGGCTTGGTAATTTGTCAACTTTTCCTCAAACACAGTGAGCCTTTAATCTGTATGCTGAGAAGTATTTTCTTCAGTGATTTCTTTTAGTATCTCTTCTGTGACAATTGTTTATCCTTCATAAATCTTTACACTTTAAACATTTTTCTCCACTGCATGGCCTCTGTAAATATTCTTTTTCATGATATTTAAAACTCTAATTAATTTTTGCCTCTGCATTATGGAAGAAGTCATTAAATTTGCTTTCATATTGCTACTCTCTGTTACTGATTTTATATTAACCTTCTGCTGTTTCTGATGTTGATTTTAATTCTGTTTTGTATTTTTAATTGCTGTGTAATCTTTTTTCATTGCATTCAGCTTCAGCTTCACCTTGAAATAGTGGCTTTTGAGCTCATCTGGTCATCTTTTCTCTGTAACTTTTTCGCTTTTTATAGCTTTTCATTCCTATTTTATAGATGCCATATCGTCACATATGTTACTGTGGACACTAACTTTTTCTAAACTTTTTTCTGACACCAGGAATTCATCATTTGAAGAGACTGTCATTCCTCTGAATTTTAACAATTATGTAATATCTCTTGTATTCCAACATAATTTTACATGTTGAGCAACATCCCAGCTGTTGTTGAAGTCTGTTATTATTTTTCAGTTTACTCCTCGTGGAAAGAGAAAAGATCTATCTAGTCCCAATGTTTGCCAACACACAGGGGTTATGGCTTAGCTCTAACACAGCTTACTACAATTGGAGGGTATAATGATATATTAGCATCTAACTTGATTTCCAGGGTTTAGAGATATTCTGCTATTATGGCTCTGCTGGATTTCAGTGAAATCATTAATCCTATTCCTGCTATTTGACTATCTGATTTGGTGAACCATTGGAGTATTCGGGCTGTTCTTCTTTTTGCTCCCACCCACAGGATTTTTATATATTGGTACTCTATCTCCAGTAATACAAAGTAAAACTGTTTGCCACCTCCCCACCCAAATGCTGATATCTTGTCCTGTTGTTTTCTGGAAGTTTCAGTATCCAAACGAATGTTGAAAAAGAGGTACTAATGAGGAAGGAGAAAATAAGGGTTGGGACGTGGAGACAGTACTCAGATAGGACTATAAAGACCCCAATCAGAAGGCAAGCAAAGGAATAAGAAAGGGATGATGATGGGTTAGTTAAGTTTCAGGTGGCAAAATAGATGTCAACATCACTTCAGCTCCATTTGTCTTAGAAAATAGAAAATTATCCCAGAAACTGGCAATAGATAAGGTGCAGCTTAGGTTTAAAGCTATTTTGAGTTTGTGTGTAGTGAGGGGAACAGTGGTTCATAGGGAGACAGTGTGTGCCTTTACAGTGGACATCATAGTAGAAAGTAGGGGGTCAGTCAAGGGATTATTGACATGTATATTTCAACCCAGAAGTTTCTACCCTACACTGTAGACCTGCAAAAATCTGCTAGGAAATTGTTGAAATTGCCCACTACCTAAAAACTCTTAAAGTTGGCAATTGCTTCGTATGCCTGAAGGGAAAATACAGATAAATTCAACCTCCACTGGAATCAGGTGGAAGAGGATAAAGATTTAGTAGTTTAAATGCACTATTAATTTATGTTGAAGTCACTGAAAATATTCATATCTTATAAGTAATATTAATTACTGCTAGCAGAGTGTTCCTATTCCATTTGGGCTTGCAAATGTCAGCAGAAACCCAAGTCTGCCACAAATCAACATAATAAGATAATATTTCTGAAATATTACCAGATGTATTTTCATTTTCTAAAATTCTTGTTTCATACATGGAAGCTGAGGCATCCAGCACTTCAGAGGAAGGAAAGATACAGCCAAGAACAACAAAGAAATTGTCCAACGTTGACTTTCAAAACAAACTTTCTAAAAGAGCATAAGTAGAAACAATAGTCTTTAGTTGCCAGAGCCAGGCATTGGAGAGAAAGGAGTTCTCTTAATCAAACAGTGTCTCTCTAAATATCCAGAATTATCTCTGGCTAATGCTTTTCTCCTTTTGCCTAAACTAGTTGTGTTTCGGTCACATGTAGTAAGAAGAATCCTTATCAATATATTGCTTTTTTAATGTGCTAAACTGTAGCTTCAATGTACAATACTCAGTGAACTGAGCTCTGGGTTCAAAATTAAGAACCCCAAATTTTATATTTACTTATCACTGCCTTTCGATGTAAGGTTGAGCAATCCATCAGTTTGCTGTTTTCAGTTTAATGGATTTCACCTAAAACTCCATCTTTTCTTTGAAGCCTTTCCTGGCTATGGATAAAAGCAGTCTGTCTCAGTACTAATTCTTCCATCTATTAATATGATCTCTTGCAATATACTTGAAATTAGCATATAATATCCCTACCTCTTTTACTAATTTGATTTTAGCATAATATTTCTTTTATTTACTTGTTTGAAGATTTGCTCTGAGTAAATAACAATGCAAGACTAAAATAATAACAGCTGTTGTGTTGCTCCATGATGGTGCCTACAGAGGTTAGAAATTGGATCTTTTTATCGTCCTGAAAGCACCTTCTTCAGCACCACATGCATTTGTCATTGTGCTCCATTTTAGCGTCTCCATTTATTTAACACGTCTTCTACTTGGTAGTTTCATTTAGTTATTAACTGTTCATTCGCAATATAAATTCTCTTTTATTGCCAGTGAATAGGAAGTGTGTGTTTTGTTCCATGGACTTACTTTCATTATCATCCTAGTAAGTAAGTATGAGTTTACCTGAGTTTTACTATGTGTGAAGTGCCCTGTAAAGGGAATTTCACAGACAGGTCTATATCTATTCATTTATTCATTCAAGAAACATTTATTTAGTTCATGAGGATAAAGAGAAAAACAAAAGACACTCATTCTCCTGGGGACGTCACAGAGTAGAGGAGGGGACAGACAAAACCAGTTATGGCAACAAAGAATAACAGGGCTGTGAAACATGACTAGAATAATATTGAAGCTTAAC
This sequence comes from Homo sapiens, assembly GCF_000001405.40. Lineage (NCBI taxonomy): Eukaryota > Metazoa > Chordata > Mammalia > Primates > Hominidae > Homo > Homo sapiens. The sequence goes on along the minus strand of NC_000014.9, from coordinate 62,143,912 downwards.
TCCTTTATTCTCTAGAATTTGTTAATGATTATGTTATAAGGCTACTGAAACAACTGCTGAACATGTTATCATAATTACTGAAAAATGTTCAGAACTGGGGAGGAGTTGAGATTTCCGGCTTCTACCCCAGATTTCCATCTTGAATCACATAACCTCTTGGGTTCTGTTCTCTCTATAAAAGGAGAATGCTACGTGAGATGGCCTCCAACATTCTCTCTGGCTATCACATGCTACAAATCTGTAATTCTAAAGGCTACAGAAGAAACTTCTCTACAACTAGTTCAAACTGCAACCTCTCAATAACACATAGCTTTGAAGTTCTGGTTCACTGCCATCTTATCTAGCTATGTTTAATCTCCCCTCAAGATGAACTATCTGCGTGGGAATTAAAAATTGGACACATTATTGGTAACTATACCACATTCCTGTGAATCAGACCAATAGCCATCTGGCCCTTGAGTGTGTTTGAAAACACTGCCAAGCTTAGGGAACAGCCCTTACTCAGGCGTCTGGCAAGTATTGAGTCAGACTCCTCTCTGTGATTGGAGTTCTTTGTTGGAAAAACTGTTTGTGCTTGGGAAGGCTGTATTGCCTGTGTTGTGGGCATCACTTAGCTAATAGGAACATGGCCTGGAAAATAAACAGTGAGAATGTCCTGGCAATGCTTTCCTTTATGCCCCCCGCGTCAGTCACTCTCAGTTCATTTGTGGTGTGTATGTGTATATACGTTAGGTTTCCTTAGCATGTTCTTGGCAGGAAAAAAAAGAAATACCTCCTCTTATTTTGAAGTCTCCACCATCTAATTAATACATACACATTGGCTTAGAACAGAGCATCTTTTATAAAGAATAAATACCTCAAGCTTTGAGAAGTCTCATGAGAAGCATCAGAATTACTTGTCTGGAACCATTTTATACCAAGCTATTTTTGAATGAATGAGGAACCTAGAATAACTGGAAAACTAAAGGTTTCTCATTATTTCTAAGTCAGTAACAGAAATTTTCTTAATCAGATTAATGGATTGACATTTTAATCTTGCATTGTTATTTATTTTACTCAGCTAAAATTTTTTGAGTTTGATCCTTAACTTGGGCATAGTATTAAATGCTGTACATGAGATAATTGGTGCTTCTCTTAGTAAACCTAAGACTTAGGTGAAATTGTTTCCCCTGTTTTAGAGACGAGAAAACCAAAGTTTAATGCTTTTTCCATTTAGAAAAAAAAATGCAGCTCGCTACCAGCACTCATTTAATTTTACATAAACACATTCTTTGAGGCTAAAGCCAATCCGACTGATTTTCAATGTGAAAATAAAATATAAAAACTGTTCTTGGGGTTACTTCTAAACAGAACTAACATCAGAATCATCCGTTTCAGAAAAATCAAATTCATCAAATGAATCATTGGCCAACAACTGCTCGTTGTAGGAATGCTACGTTTTCTAGGATTTGACATTTTCAGCGATGGAGAATTATTACATTTTTGTAAACGAAAATACCACTACTAAAAACAGAATGCTATCAATAGAATGGTGTCTCTTGTTTCCAAAGTTGATATAGTAGAGCGATGTGAAAATAATAATAAAAGCGAGATATTTTGTGGCAAAGTTATCTTGGAGTAAACGCTGCAGCCACCGGCAAGTCGTCTCAAGGAAAACAGGAAAAGGGTTAAAGAAGCTTAGACAGGAACTTTCCCAAAGTCCTACAGGTATAGGTAGTGGTATTAAGGCTTGAAGCTGGGTCCATCTTACTCAAAAACCATTTTCCTAAGCACAACAATACACTGTCTCACAGTGAAGGCTCAGCAGTCAGGCTACAGGAGTTCTAATTTTGGCTCTACCACCGACCAGCTGGACAGCGCTGGACTAGTTTCTTAAATTCTTTGTACCTCAGTTTTCTTCACTATAAATTTGAAAATAATAAAATGTAACTTTTATGGTTGGTGAGAAGTCAATTAAACACTTACAAAACCTCACATATAGTAAATGCTGAACAAATGGTAGCTATTTTAATTTTTGTTCATTCAGCATAGCACTGGCTGAATGAATTAAAGACAAATTATCAGGAAAGATCAAGATAATATGTGGCCTCCATATCCAAGGGCCATATAGTCTAGGGGAGAGGAGAGGTATGTAATGAAATAATTCAACACAAGGCAGACAATGAAAAAGAGAGAGAGAGAGATACAAAATGCTATAAGGGCCCAAATGAAAAAAAGAGTATATCCAGTTGGAAGAGTACAAGACATTTAATGGAAAAAAAAATGACATTAGAATTGGACCAAAAATGAATGGAGCGTTTAAATTGCTGGTCATACAGTTCTAGACACTGGGATCGAAAAAGAAAAATCCCACTGTCTGATGGTGTTTTATGTCCACAAATCAGATTATAAAATCGTGAAGAGCAAAGACTGCTTCTGTTGTTCCCTCCTGAGCACTGCAAAACAGTTGTGGTTGTTCTGAGTGTCAATATTCACTCACGTCACCAACCCCTAGGGACCAGTTTGTTCACAATTGTGGCAGCAGCCTGCACCCCACACCATCATCTCTCACTCCATTACAAGTCTTTGGCACCTTGTAAGTCATCCATATCTATGGGCACTGGAAACTAGAGAGAATTTTGTAAGGAGAAGGCCCACATGGAAGGTCAAGGAGGTCCATATATACCATATGGAATTTTAAGGAGCATGCCCAAAGAAATTATTTGTCAGAGAATCATAATGATATAGTATTTTTGAGTAATTATCAGTAGTTCTAGAAGATTTAGCAACTGGCTTTCTAACTGCTTCTCCCACTCAATTCCCTCCTAATCCCAGACTTATATTTTCAGCTGCTTTATTGACGTTCCACTTGAATGTTTCACTCCAAGCTAAAATATGAAACACTAAGTTGATGATCCCTCTCCCTACCTCATGTTCTTCTTTTTCTTTGTCTGTAAGTGGCCGACCGTTGTTCCATTTGTCCGAAATCTAAACGACCGCCATCCAAATAGAAATACAATGTGAGCCACATACATAATTTTAAATTTTCTAGTGTCCACACTAAACATTTTTAAAGAAACAGGTTAAGTTAATTTTAAATATATTTTATGTAATGCTGTATGAACTAAATATTAGCATTTCAACATGTAAGCAATGTGATATTTACATTCTTCAATATAAAAACCTTAGAAATCCAGAGTATATTTTACAATTACAGTACATCTCAATTTAGACCATCCACAGTTCAAGCGGCCAGTTGCTACATTACTGGGTCTTTGTTACATAGAAAATGCAGGTCTGTCTGCATCTGAAAAGTGACTCTTCACTCTTGTTCCCTCACCCTCCATCTCCAAGCGTTTAGTGTGTCTCCGTAATGTCTCTCATAACTATTTTGCCATTTCTATTCAACACATGTAAGACCAACCTCTCCAAAGTGCTATCAAAAACACCATCAATGGCTCCCAGTCGCCTACCAAAGAGGATTCAGATGCCTCACACTGGTGTTCAAAGCCTTCCACAAAAAGTGCCCTGATTATTTTAGGGCATCACTTTTCTTTGCCCCTCTCTAACACTAGTCTCCTTCAATTAATCCAGACTACAGATTGTTCCCCCATCGTATCCCTACTTTCCCAACCCTTTCACTTTGGTCATTGGCTCCCCTCTCTGCCTATTAAAATTTTACTCTTTCTTCAAAGTTGTTGCTGAACTCTACTTTTTCATTAATGCTTGCCTGTTTTTCCCAACTAAATAGAATCTCTTCATTATTTTATTGCACGATTCTGTATTTCTCATGCAACTTAGGCAAATCTATTTTGTGTATATTTTTCTTATCCCTTCTAATTTTTAGCCTGTTGCGAGCCAGGATGGAATCTTTAAAATCTCAGTATCCCAGGCAACAGTCAACTGGTTCCTTGAATCTACAAATAGATACGTAAGAGAAGCCAATCTCTGAGACCCATTGGTGAAGAAAAGCAAAAGTGCAGAAAACCATCTTTTCGAAAGAGCTTTCCATCATTCAGGCAACAGTAAGTACCCATAAAGGCAGGGAGATTTAATGTCATATTTTTTTTTCTGTGAGCTTAAATGGGAAGTTAAGGTTAAAACCCAAAAAGCTAGCCTACAGACTCTCTTTTGGAGATGTGTTTTCAGGCAGCATTGTTTTGGAAACTGCTGCATAGGAGAGAGAAGCCTGGCATCATTACTGAAGGGCTGTCATATTATAATGTGTGCATCCTCACCATCTCCAGGAGCATTTTTTCCAATACTATAATCTTGTTTTTGGCTGAGGATATCCCTTATATTCTCCCAGATGATGTCTCATTCTATAACCAGGACAATTACTGGGTCTTTGTTCCAGGGTAATAGGATACAAGTTTGTAAATCAGTAGGCCAGTGGTATGTAAAAATAATATAAAAGTTTCTTTAGATAAAACCAAATCCATGAAACTAAATTCATTGTGCAATATGCAAGTGATGGTAGCAATCATTTCAGCCATCTGTCTGAAAGACACTCACACCCTTAGAGCAAATTCAAAGAAGGAAAAACAGCACTGTCGAAGTTTTGGTCCCATGCCTAGGGTTCTTTTCCTCTAAATATAGGAATAAATATTTAATTCCCTGGTGCATTTGTTCCCACTGTCCAGGTTGCTTCCATGCTTCTGCCTCCCCACGACTTGACTGCTTCTTATCCCCAGGCAGAAAACTCTCTCCATCAATGCTGACTACATCAATTCCATTCCATTCAATCATGCAGGGATCCGGGAAAGTGGACATAATACAAACCAGAGACAGTGAACTACTTAGTGTTTTGGGTTTTGCTTGTTTTCCAGTTCCTAATGGCCTATCAACTACAACAGAGTGAAGAGTTTTTGCAGTTGGCTCATTTTGAAAGCTAAACAGAGACAACAGTTTCTAGTTTATTTGGGCCTCTTAATTATTTAGTATCCACAGAGATAATTTCCTTGGGGAGTATGACATGAAAAGGAGTTTAGTCTATGTGTGTTTTATAAAAATAGGGCAATCAGGATAAGGTTCCATTGTAAGAAGACAGTTTCCCTATTCACGGTAACCACAAGTAGTAGTAAGGCCTGCCCTGGAAGGGCTTGGTTTCCATGGTGACATCACTTTGCTACTTGAGCCCCAGCAGCCTCTAGTTGGCAAGATTAGACACCTTAAGCAGTCCTGCTCTCTCCTGACAAGATGCAGCTGGCTAGTGACCAGTGGACATGGCCCTGGAGAACCTTGGGGTAAGCTCTCCCAGGAGAAAGATGTCCAGTCTTTCCTCCTGCCAATGAGGTCAGGTGAGCATGAAGTATTTTAATTAGATAATTAAAGAATTGTACCCTTTTTTTCACAAACTGATAAAAAGAAAGTGGAGGGAATATCAGACATACAGATAAAACTTCTGTATTTGGCTTCTTCATAAACTATAGAAATACTATGACCATAATTGATCAAAGTGGTGCTGTATTCTACTTGTACGTATGAACTAATAATAATTTAATATCTCTTCTTTTGCATTGAGGGGAGTAATAATTCTGTATAATTTGAGTTTACATAGAACTGTTTGTAAACACTTCTAATTATAAAATCCATGAGGCAACAGTATGAATACCTTTCAGATAAGTAAATGTTTGGTAGTGAGTCTCACTGTATGGAACACACAGAGGAATTGTAAGAAAACAAGTAAAATGTGAAGAAACGACTGGGGTGATTTAACCAAAGCCTTTGAAAGATTTGTCCTGGTAGAGTTTACCATTAATATATAATTTCAGTGACAGCAATCAGGTCTGAAACAGAAGCAGTGGGCCAGGAATAAGCTAGAATAAGGTTGGGGAGTAGTGTTGGGAAATAAAAACAGAAATTTTTTTGTGGTGGATCTTCGTTTTGAGGTTAAAACTATCAACTCACAAATTCCGCTATATTTAAGCTTCTCAATGTGGCTTGAAATTCTCATGCAGATTCCAAGGTTATTGAAAGAAACACCTTGAGGTACTCACCCTTTCTTTTACTTCTTAATGGTAATAAATAAAGAGGCCCATTCACCTGCAATTGGTGGTTTCTCTCTCTCTCTTGCTCCCACTCTCACGCACTCTCTATATGTGTGTGTGTGCATGTGTGTGTGTTCCATAAATTTTTTCTTTCTTCTATTTTTTGCTTATTTATTTTTTTTGAGACAGGGTCTTGCTCTGTTGCCCAGGCTGGAGTGCAACAGTGTGATCCTGGCTCACTGCAGCCTCAACCTCCCAGGCTCAAATGATTCTCCCACCTCAGCCCCCCGAGTAGCTGGGACCACAGGTATGCACTGCCACACCTGGCTAATGTTTTTTTAATTATTTTTTGAGACAAGATCTCACTATATTACCTAGGCTGGTCTTGAACTCCTGGGCTCAAGCTGTCCTCTTGCCTCAGCCTCCCAAAGTGTTAGGATTACAGGCATGAGCCACCATGCCCAGCTTACAAATTTCAATATGAAAGAAAATTATATCAACCTACTTTTAAACTTTAAAGTAGAACACCAATGGAAAAAAAACACATTTCTTTAAAAAATAAACTAAGAGTCACTTGGACAGTGCCATTTATTACTACCAGATATGCTCCAGGCACTATCCAAGGCACTTACATAATATAATATATAAGATTGATTCTTTACTGCTGGAAAGTACTGATCAGCTCTTTATGTTACTGTCTTGGATGTGTATGTTACTGTCTTGGATGTGTTTAAGTTTCTACTAACACATACGTGATAGTCTGTCATTTATATGAGTCAGTTGTTCATATAAACTGAAATAACTGGGTTGCTCAAATAACTGTGCATTTAATCAAGACTTTGTCTTGCTAGATGATATGGTTTTGCTCTGTGTCCCCACCCAAATCTCGCCTTGAATTGTGATAATCCCCACATGTCAAGTGTAGGGCCAGGTGGAGATAACTAAATCATGGGGGCAGTTTCCCCCATATTGTTCTCCTGATAGTGAATAAGTCTTACAAGATCTGATCGTTTTATAAGTGGGAGTTCCCCTGCACAAGCTCTCTTGCCTGCCACCATATAAGATGTGTCTTTGCTTCTCCTTTGCCTTCCACCACGATTGTGAGGCCTCCTCATCCATGTGGAACTCTGAATCCATTAAACCTCTTTCCTTTATAAATTACTCAGTCTTGGGTATGGTAGTGTGAGAATGAACTAACACAGTAAATTGGTACTGGGTCGTGGGGCACTGCTGTAAAGATACCTGATAATGTGGAAGTGAATTTGGAACTGGGTAACAGGCAGAGGTTGGAACAGTTTGGAGGGCACAGAAGAAGACAGGAAAATGTGAGAAAGTTTGGAACTTCCTAGAGACTTGTTGAATGGCTTTGAACAAAATGCTGATAGTGATATGGACAATAAGGTCCAGGCTGAGGTGGTCTCAGATGGAAATAAGGAATTTGTTGGGAACTGGAATAAAGGTGACTTTTGCTATGTTTTACAAAGAGACTGACAGCATTTTGCCCCTGCCCTAGAGATCTGTGGAACCTTGAACTTGAGAGAGACGATTTAAGGCATCTGGCAGAAGAAATTTTCTAAGCAGCACAGCGATCAAGATTTGACTTGGGTGCTCTTAAAAGCATTCAGTTTTATGTATTCACAGAGAAGTGGTTTGGAATCGGAACTTATGTCTAAAAGGGAAGCAGAGCATAAAAGTTTAGAAAATTTGCAGCCTGATGATGTGATAGAAAAGAAAAACCCATTTTCTGAGGAACAATTCAACCTGGCTGCATAAGTAACGAGAAGTAAAATGTTAATCACCAAAACAATGGAGAAAATGCCTCCAGGGCATGTCAGAGGTCTTCACAGCAGCCCCTCCCATCACAGGTCTGGAGGCCTAGGAATTAAAAATGGTTTTGTGTGCCAGGCCCAGGGCCTTGCTGCTTTGTGCAGTCTTGGGAGTTGGTGCTCTGCATCCCAGCCATGGCTAAAAAGGGCCAATGTAGAGCACAGGCCATTGCTTCAGAGGGTGCAAGCCCCAAGCATTGGTGGTTTCCACACGGTGTTGAGCCTGTGGGTGCACAGAAGTCAACAATTGAGGTTTGGTAACCTCTGCCTAGATTTCAGAGGAGATGTGGCAACTCCTGGATGTCCAGAAAGAAATCTGCAGGGGCGGGGCCCTCATGGAGAACCTCTGCTAGGGCAGTCAAGAAGGGAAATGTGGGGTTGGATCCCCCAAACAGAGTTCCCACTGGGGCACTGCCTAGTGGAGCTGTGAGAAGAAGGCCACTGTCCTCCAGAACCCAGAATAATAGATCCACCAATAGCTTACACCGTGTGCCTGCAAAAGCCACAGACACTCAATGGCAGCCCATGAAAACAGCTGAGAGGGAGGCTGTACCCTGCAAAGCCACAGGGGTGGAGCTGCCCAAGACCATGGGAACCTACCTCTTGCATCAGCATGACCTGGATGTGAGACATGGAGTCAAAGGAGATCATTTTGGACCCTTAAGATTTGACAGCCCTGCTGGATTTTGGACTTGCATGGGGCCTGTAGCCCCTTCGTTTTGGCCAATTTATCCTATTTGGAATGGCTGTATTTACCCAATACCCATATCCCCACTGTATTAGGAAGTACCTAACTTGCTTGTGATTTTACAGACTTATAGGCAGAAGAGACTTGCCTTGTCTCGGGGGAGACTTTTGACTGTAGACTTTCAAGATAATGCTGAAATGAGTTAAAACTTTGGGGGACTGTTGGGAAGGCATGATTGGTTTTGCAATGTGAGGACGTGAGATTTGGGAAGGGCCAGGGGTAGAATGGCTTGGCCACGTTTCCACCCAAAACTCACCTTGAATTGTAATAATCCCCACATGTCAAGCATAGGGCCAGGTGAAGATGATGGAATCGGGGAGGGGGGGGAGGTTTCCCCCATACTGTTCTTATGGTAGTGAATAAATCTCATGCTATCTGATGGTTTTGTAAATAAGAGTTCCCCTGCACAAGCTCTCTTGCCTGCTGCCATGTAAGACATGACTTTGCTCCCCATTTGCCTTCTGCCATGATTGTGAAGCCTCCCCAGCCATGTGAAACTGTGAGTCCACTAAACTTCTTTCCTTTATAAATTACCCAGTCTCAGGTATGTCTTTATTAGCAGTGAGAGAACAGACTAAAACGCTGGATATACACAGAAAAAGGTTATTTGCTTTGAAACACCTACATGGGCACTGATGCCCCACATGAGTCAGCGTTTTGTAGGGGCCCCTACGATCATCAGTTTGCAAAGCTGATAACAAACACTAGCTCCTGCTAGAAAAAGAGGGACGCTATGTCTCTGGTGCATGCCAGTTCACCTAATGAATCCAAGTTCATCTAATGCCCAGTTCACCCAATGAATCCAAGTTCATCTAATGCCCAGTTCACCTAAGGAATCATGGAGAATGATGCACACACCCACTGCTGTTCACTGGGTAGAGGAGCTATCTTTCACCCTGAGATTTATAGTTGTTATGTTTAAATAATGCCTAAATGGAGTCAGTTCTGTTGTGTCTTTTTAATGACTTGCACTATCTTAAAACCATTTCAGGGTCACTCAGTGAAGAAACTGTGCCAGGAGACTGGGAATATCTTCTAAATCCTTAAGCAAACTGTGCTGAAAACAAACTGCTGAAAGAAAATAAGCATTTGACTTTAAAACGATGCCTCTGGAAAAAAGGGACATGCAGCAGCTGCCAGATGTTCATGATCCCACCTCCCCTACTTAACAAAGGCACCTATATTTCACCAGAAATAAAATTTTATTAGTAACATGTCAAATGTTTTAAAATACAATTACCTTTCTTCTTCCTCTCAGTTTAAAAAACAATCCAATAAAAACTCTAAATCATGACCCAAATATTTTTAAATGTGAAAAAGACATATTTCAGATTATGTAACAGATACACATTTTCCCAAATAAATGTTGTAGAACACCATCTGCTTGATATTTGAGTGCATTCCCACAGAAATAAATTTCTGCTTCTCTTCCTTCATTAATGGCTTATGACAAATTTATGACACTATATTTCACAATAGCTATACCAAAATTTTATGACCAAAAGAGGCTGACAAAAATCACTTGGCATGCTCAAATTAGACAATTTATGTGACTGTCTCATTTACACCAATCCTCCACCCCTTACTGAGACCCCAGCGACTGAGGAGAAACAGAAAAAATCACTGTAGGGGAAGATCTCTCACAGAATAAAGCTCAAAAAAGAGTTCAAGACAAGAAGTTACAGATCCAGGTGCCATTTTCAGCTCAGGTTTTCCATAATCTTCAGCTTATGCAGCTACCCAAAATTCTGAATTTAATGTAGGATGTTTTTGTAAGGTTGTCTCAGATTTTGCCAAGCAAGAAGTTGCTAAATTCTTGTTAACTGTGAACAGAATTTCATCTTTGTTACCAAATGGAGCTCCCTTATGTGAGTATAATCAAGAGGAAAATCAAGAAGAGAAATTTACCACGTGTCATCTCCTGACTGATAAGAATGGTACATGACTCTACCCATGTTCCTTTCCTGCACTTGATACAGAGAAAACTTGTAACAGGAATAATCTTTGCATTTTACTCTACAGAGTATTACAGTATTTGTGGCAAATTTGGAAAACCAGTGTTATGGTTTTCTGATTTTACTTTATGCAGTTTATTTCTTAAAAGAAAAAATTCTTGCAGAACACAGACATGAACACAGAGTCTTTGAAAGTTTAAGAGTATAGGCTTCAGTGTGGATATTTCTCAAAAGATGTAGAATCTCCCAACTCAAAGTGTGGTCGATGGACTGGCAGCATCCACATCACCTGGGAGATTTGAGAGATGAAGACCTTCATTCCTCATCCCAAACCTACTAAAAGGAATCTGTATTTTCACAAGATCCCTAGTGACTTGTATGCTCAAGAAGCACTAATGTAATGTTTTTAATCCACCCAACCCTAAAGGATAATCCTTGAGAAAGACAAAACTACTTTAATGGGGAAATTTTGTCCATAATATTCAACCAGGAATGTGACAACTTTTAGACATGGCCCACTTAATAAAAAAACAAAAAACCTGAAATTTATCTTGTTGCTGCTGTATAGTAATGAAGTATGAGAATGGGAACATATAAATTAAAATGCCATATGTTACATAAATATTCATGACCTGATTGAATTAATTATACACAACCTTCCATTGTTTCCAACCTAAGTAGTTTCTTTTGTGAGACATATACAGCTGTTAACTATTACACTGAATTCCAGAAACATGAAAATTGCCTTAGTAAACAATTATTTAATGACTAAGTACAATAGTCTCAAAAAGAATTTTGTTCAGCCAGTAACGACCATGTTACTATGATGAATTCTTATTTGATACACTCCAGAAACTTTCCCAAAGGAGTTCAGCCAGTACTGCAAATTGTTACTTTCTTCTAAGTATCAATGATAGGGAGCAAGGTGTGGGTGAAGAATAGAGCTATAACTTCCACTTACAATGGACTATAAAGACTGGGGTCAGGCTGTGATTTAAAGAGGAAACCAGAGGGAGAGAAAGAAGGTGGGCTCCAGTACCTGGTGTTAAGAAATACCGAAGTTCATTCAAGCAATTCACCAGCACAAGGCAAATTGAAGAAGACTGCCCCTCTGAGCTTGCACACAACATACACAACTTTCAGGCTGTGATTTATTGATTCTCTTTCTCCTTTAAAGCTCTCCTTAACATTAGTATTAATCTGATTTGTTCCATAAAAGAACATGGAAGCTAGAGAGGTAAGGCGAGAAGGAATTGTTCCCTACCTGATTTGTCTCCCCACCACACGCACAAGATATGCCCCAGGGATGGGCTAAGGTCAGCCGTACTTCCCTTAGGCAATAGTAGCTTTTTGCCCACAATAAATATGCCACAAAGCAAAATGTATCCTCTCCTTTCCTTCTAAGATCTGGGTCAGGAAAACTTTCCTTCACCTTGCGCATCTTCTCACCTGCAAACACTTTCTGAAAGACATGTTTGATAGCCATCTCAGTTTGGAAAAGAGAAATGCAGGTACTGCATTTGGATTTGGTAAAACAAAACCAAATAATCTGAGTTCTGGGACTGTGCATTATTCACTTATGTATCCCCAGCCCTAGCACAGTGCCTGGCTCATAATAGCTGCTCAATAGATGGTGGTAAATTACACTTATTTTCAAGTCTTCTAGCACTGAGTTTGTTAAATCTTGGGTGTTACATTGAAACCAGATAATGCATTTGAGCTTATCCATTTCCCATTTATACACAGGCTTATCCTTTAGCCTTTCCCTTACCTTAATTATTTTCTATTTTTCCTTTGCTTATCCACCCAAAGAGCTCAGTTTCAGGGATATTTTTCAGTAGTAACACTTTGCAAACAGTAGATATGCCGAAAATAATCTAGTCTTATGCATCACAGGTGAATGAAAGAAAGGAGCAATACATTGCAGAGATCAGGTGTTTTGTGTACAGCAGACACGGGAAAGCAAAATTGAGTATAGCAAGCAAGAACACCCCCCCCACACAACAAAGCAACTTTTTCTTTCACTTACTAATCCTACTCTTTATTTCTCTGGCCCCACCCTCTTTTTCCTCTTTTCTTCATTTTTCCTCTTCTGCTTTTTTATGTTCTTCTTCACTTGGCTTTTAGGCTAGGTGGACACCCACAAGAAAGATCAACATTACCAAAGGTTCTCCATTTTCTATCTCACCTTCCTTACCATAAGGATGGCTCTTGTCACCAGAGAAAGGATGTCCAGGTTTTAAAAAAAAAAAAAAAAAGGTGTAACTGGTCTTCCACCTTTTGCATCTCCTGTAATAAAGCACGCTGGGTAGTCAGCAAAGCAAGCCTGTATTTGGGTCTCCCTGTATATCAGTTTACCATGCTAAAACCCCGGTAGTCTATTGGTTAACTCAGACAAGTTTACACAGTTTACATACAAATTTTCTAAATAAAGATAACATTAGTCAACCCGTTATCTATGAGTTGTTTATTGGGAAAAATAATTAAATGCCCTAGGAGATATTTTTTAATTACCAGTTTCAAGGCAGACACTTTTTTAAAAAAGCATATTAACAAATATCACTGGGGAGGGATAGCATTAGGAGAAATACCTAATGTAGATGACAGGTTGATGGGTGCAGCAAACCACCATGGCACGTGTATACCTATATAACAAACCTGCACATTCTGCACATGTACGCTAGAACTTAAAAAAAAAAAGAAACACTGGTTTTTAAGACAGTTCCTTCTCGATGTATGAATGTATAGATGAGAAAACTCAGTTAATGATGTCATCAAATAAAACAGGCTTTTATATCTGTCACTGGTTCATTGCTCAAGAGTTCTTTCTTCAAGATTTATTAAATACAATAAATATTACAATGTCACACTTTTTTTATTTTTTTCTCTTCCTCTCTTCTCAATGCCAAAGTATATATATTTCAATCCTCAATCAATTTCGATATGTGGCATTTTTGTAAGTCATATCTATTAGCATTGGTGTCTTTTACTTACAGACACGGTCCTAAACCAAGTGAAATGTTCATTTCAGAAAATATTTTAAAGTATTAGAAAGCTAATTCTACCTTTAAAATTGTATGATGGTGTAACTATCCCATCAAATTTGGAGTTTTTCAAATAAGATGTTATTTTTTAAAATAAGTGTTCTGATAAAGTATTTTATAAGCAGTGAAATAAAATTTTTGAAACTTTGGTACCAAATCTTGCCCTCAAATTAATTTTTAAACATTTAAATCTGTATTTCAAAGCTAGCTCATCATGTATACTAAATTGCCTTTAAAAATTAACCTAAATTGTAATTTTTTAGTTTCTTCCAAAGCATTTCTTCCTAATTTTGATTGAGTAATTAAACATGAGCCTCATAGTCTTATCAGTAATACATCTATGTGGTCTTCAACAATGCAGGCTAATTAGGGAACCAATACTCTTTATACCAACAGAATTCATGTTAATCACCCCAGTGATTAATTAGAGGGACCAAGTATTAAATCAAAACTAAAACCAAATTTCTCTTGAATAGAAGAAAGTCTTCTTGGTTACAAGTTGGCATCCAACTAGGGAAGATACTTTGTTGACAAGTCACCATACATAGATTGTTTTCCAAGGCATATGATTCCTAAAGGTCTGTAGTATCTTCATTTAAAGCAGTGCCCTTGATTACCATTATTATGTATAAAGTGTTCTGAAAGTACATTAGTAAGCAAATCATTCCAAACCCCTTTAACAATGTTCTTCTATGTCCTATGCAATCCTTACTTTAGATTCTTATCTTCATTATCATAGTCTTCCTAACACTCATCTTTGAGTCTTTGGTATTTTCTTAAATACACCTTTGGCACCTAGTTTTTCCAATCTGTTTTATCAGTTAATGACAATTCTTTAAATGATATGCTCCATAGGACAAAACTTCAGACACTGAAATCTGACATCTCACTCAAACCTGAAAGAACAGTATGAACCACTTCAAACAATTTCATGAATCTATCCAACTTGTTAAATAATTATCTGTAAAATTGCAAAACATAGGGACTTATCTAAACTTCACCACCAAAGGCATTCTGAAACAATTTGTCAAATAGTGAATGATCAACTATTATACAAAAATCAGTGCAAAGTTTCATCCAGGCAGCCTTAAATGTACTCTTAGCTAGATGAAGAAATAACATCATGTGGAATTTGTTGTTCTCATTAATTTTTGCAGATAAGGTTTCTAAAAAGTATCAACTCATTAAAAACAAATTTTACCTGCCTACCCTTTTCCTGAGCTTCACAGCCTATAAAAAAAAACAAATAAAATGTAAACGGCTAACTAAAGGCCCACCACAAATTTTAACCAACCTGTAGAACTTATAGATAAGCCCATCTGCAAGGCTATTTCGTTAAAATTCACTTTTAAAGAGAAAAGTCTAAGCCCTCCCCGCAAAATAGTACAATGGATCAGTTTGGAGTAATCTGGTTGTTACATTCAGCAGTTTAGTTGCAGTGTCTTTGCCCCATCTCGAATTGCTACTAATGGTAAAAGGAGAATGGTGTCAATTATTTGGCACAATGCTTGACAAGTCAAAGCACTTCAGAAAGAACCAGCCCTTCCTCATATCATTTACAGAAAATTAAATGTGTTCCACCCTTCATCCTCAGGGACATGGCATTATCAATTTAATCTGTTACTTTCATTACTTTCCAGTAAGAGTGGCAGAATTTGGAAATCAAGGCATAAAAGAAAATTTTTCATCTGTGTAATTGTTTAACGTAGGCCCCTTCCTACACATCTTATGTTTAAAAAAAATCTTTGCTTCTAAAGCACTAATTGACCGCTTTATCATATGTGAACATATTTTCTATTCAATTTGATGATTCTAAGGACTGCTGAGTAATAACCATTGCTCTCTCCAATCAGTTCAGCATGCATCTCATCTTTGATATCAAGTGCACTGGTAATGAGTGCCTTATATTAACATCTTCACTATAAACAGTTCAAGCATTTAGAAACAAAGTATCAATGGACTTAACAGTTACTTTAATTCATTTTATAAATAAGCAACTGAGAATTTTGCTCCAAGTGGCTGCTAGTGTAGCCCATTTCATAAATGGCATTCTCCGAAGCATAAGGCACAATATGATACGAATGCAGCTCTTCATAATAGAGAGACTGAGAACAGCATTCCTGTACCATAAACTTCAGCCGTTTTCTTGTATCAGAATATGCAGTCTTATAACAGGGAGCTTCTTTAAAGTATTCATAGCTCTCTTTCTCCGTCTCTAGATGTATCTTCCTCAGCAAATTGTTAATTAACACAGACCTTCTTAAGTAGGTTTCTGGGTCTTCAAGAAACCTGAGCTTCTCCAGAGAAAGTTTGAGAATGCAAGTTCTGTCCTCAGGTAATATCAGGTGCTGGAAAGCAAACATGATCATTAAATCTATATTTAGAAAAACAAAAACTACAGCTTTTTATGTTGACAACATTCATGAAAATGAACAAATAATAATAAGTAAACCCTTACTTTTGGAAAATACCCATGGTAATCTTGATGTAAATCTTCTTCTTCTGCATATTTTCTCTTAAAGTAGGCTACTTTCGACGTTGTTAATGTATATGTTAATACTTTTGTTGGATAAGCTAAACAAATAAAATAATTGGGGAAAGGTTAGATTTTATTGTGGCAAATAGTATCTTATAATATAACTTTTATCTATAAAAATAAACTGGTGATCCTGGAAATTGGTATTCTCCCTTCAACGTGGTGAAGCAGTGACAACTGCCCTGGATTGAAAAGCCTGCAGGCAGGAAAATACCACCATTCAGACCCAAAACAGATGTTCTAGATAGGATACTCATGTTTATTTCCTTATGCAGCCCCTCAGAAGTCAAATACCAATATACTATTTTATTTCATGCCATTTAATGTCAAAACACACCCAAATTTGAAATGGAATGTAATGGGAGGAGAAAAGAAATTTTTCATCATTCTTTTAGTTAAACTGCCTAATACAGAGAGATCATTTAGTGTCACTAGGTTAATCAAACTGGCATAAAATAGTTGGCAGCCCAATTACACTTTAAAGAAATAATGGTGTATCTGTAGACAAAACACTCTATGATATGATTATGGTGTAGCCATCGTCCTAACACATGGTTTAATGGTGTTCTAAGTAAATGAAAGATTTAGGTAACGTTCTGACTTGCAAACTTGACCTTGTCATAATACTGAAAGTGAAGACCTTTGTTTTCTCCTTTAAAATACGATTGCTACTGAGGTTCTTACTTGCTTAAGGAAGGACGGAGTTCCAAAAGCCAATTTTCAGTTATCGTTTAGTTTAACGATAGTGCTTAAGGGAGTTCTCAGAGTGTACTCTAGGTGGCACTCATATCACAAAAAGGAGGCAAGATCTACTTTGAAAGCTAAAGACAAGCAGCTTCTAGAGAAAGCACTGAATGAATTTAGAAAACAAATTGAGTCCAGTTCAATTCTCATTCAACCTCGGGGGACCAGGCCAGAAAGAAACTTCATATTTAAACATAATTTATTTTACCCTTAATACACATCCTCAAATATTTCTATGTGTTGAAACCATTTAGTTCACAAAAGAATGAATAATGTATGTGTTAGTTAAATAAATCTACAGCAAGACATTTGATGGTTTTCCTCTAAAATCTTAAATTTTTCTAAGCTTAAATATTTTAAATGTGTTCAAGAATTTGCTTTTTCTAGTTTGTCCTCCAACTCAGTGCATCTAAGCTACAAAAGCTTCCCGCAACTTTTTGTAGCTAAATGATTTTCCTCAGTCAGTAAGAAAAGCTACAAAATCATTCCCAAGCATTCCAGTTTTCCACTGACATCACTGTGGATTATTAACCCAAGAAAGCCTTAAGTTATAGTTGTTATGTTTTGTTAAGGGAATGAAGAATTTTAAAACAGTGGTGTATCTGATCTTAAAAGAAATGAATATGTCATGATAATTCACAAGTGAACTGAAGCAAAGACAATAGTTGCTACTACTATACCTACACAGTCCCTGAATTCAGTAAGCAAACTCAGCTTATATAGAGTTTTCAATGATTTCAAAAGTTTAGGAAAGAAGAACAAAGCTGATTGTAGAGAGAACAAAGAAAGCATCACTGAAACCAGGTTTCTCAGGGGCTGTTTTTTAGTAAACTGCATTTTCTTTGGTATATTTTTTAAGGATTTAATCAAATAATTAGGTGAAGCTTTGGGTTATCCCGTGTGACAATTACTTGTACTTTTTTTTTAAACTGTTTCACTAATTGATGTAATGGTAGTTTTCAAATGTTAGTGAGCATCAGAATTATCTGGAGGGTATGTTAAATCAAATTGCTGGGTCCCACCCCCAGAGTTTCTAATCCAGTAGATCTGGGCTAGCAGCAGTGAATTTGCATTTCTAACAAATTTCCAGGTGATGCTGATGCTGCCAGTCTGGGGATTGCATTTTGAGAGCCTCTAGGTTGCAGCATTCAGCAGGTGTAGTAGTAGCACTATGGCAACAAGTTAAGAGCAGAACATTCAGTCAATCAGCTGATTGCCATATCAATAGAATGCCAGGCAATTGGTTTGATTGATTGTTGTTGTTGTTGCTATTGCTTCCCTACACTGGCTTAGATGCTTTAGCCTCATGAACAAAGCCAGACTGCATTTTAACTAAATAGTGAAGAATGAAGTCACTTTTCCTGGGTTCACATTGAGAAGCATCAATGGCTATTATTAGCATGATAGCTGGGCAGGTCTCTAATTTTTTTAACAAGCTCTAATGAATTACTATAGTGTAGGTGACAGTGAGAAAAGGCTAGAAAATGAGATGAGTAACTTCATCATGAGCAAACATGACTTTCTTATATGTATCTTTTTAAAATGTCTGCTCATTTTATCTTCCAATGTAATGCAATATCTACAGCATTTATGACCAATTAAGAATCTTTTAATGAGTAATACAAGGGAAGGCAGGTGGCAGATTAGAGAACCAAATGACAAATAAACTTATAGTTCTGGATCCCAAGTGTACCTCCAGGAAAGATATTTTTATTTGACAGATCAAGACCAAAAAAATCATATCAAATGATTCCAAGGTTCATAAAGACTGTCTGGCTATCATCAACCAATTAGCCTAATATACTGAATGTATCAGATCCTGAAAATACAGAGAAAATTCCCAGGAGTTCTAGATTTGAGTCTCAGCTCCTCCGTGGGCAACACACTTAGCCATTTAGTTTATTGCTCTTAAAAAATACCCACATGGGTTGTTAAAATGCTGAAAAGCCTTCA
Source organism: Homo sapiens (assembly GCF_000001405.40). NCBI lineage: Eukaryota > Metazoa > Chordata > Mammalia > Primates > Hominidae > Homo > Homo sapiens. The sequence goes on along the minus strand of NC_000014.9, from coordinate 62,125,137 downwards.
CAGCTGGTATCAGTTTGACAATTATCTCCCTGAAAGCTGTTTAGCTATTTAAAATGTTTTCAGTATCAATTTTGGAGGATGGTTCTAGCCACTTTTAGGTTAAAATATATAGCAAACATAAGTTCCTACATCTGTTTGCTTGGCTGGATTAGAACTCAAAACATTCGGAGCTGATAACTATGTATCCATCACCTGATTCAGCCTCCTCAGTGTCCAGATGAGAAAACTACAGCCCAGACGAGTTCAATAATTTACATTCTGGCACGTGGCTATGAGTTTGGGTTTTGAAGTCAGATGGAAGTGGTCTGAATTCCAGCTCTGCTGCTTCTTATTTGAGTGACTTTGAGCAAATTACATAAACTCTCTAGAAATCTCATTTGTAAAGTAAGGATAGAAATAACACTGGCTCATAAGATCATTGAAATAATTCATGGAAAGTGACTGGCACTGTGCCTAGCATATAGTAAACACTCAATCAAATTGTAGACCTTATTTGTGCCATTAGTCACAAATCTACCACATAGAAGCAGAGCCCAGCCTGGCCTCCTAGCTCTGACTCAAAGACTCCACCACCCTGCCTCCCAAAGATACTAGATTGTAATTAGACAGTTAAAAAAAACTGCAAGAAGATATTGCAAATGATCAAGTTGAAAAAACGTAGTACAGATTCTATAACAACTCCAAATATTTCTGGTGTATTGCCACTGGTCATGCATTTTGGGTGAAGGAGGTGTAAACTATTTTTGAAACATACAGGTAATCATCTGGATAATTAATTAAAGTTGATCTGACTATCCAAAGAAGTTTGGTTGTTATGATTCAGTAAACATGTGTAAATCGGTTATAGTTCTCCTGCAACTAAAAGGCCAAACTTAACCCAGCCTATTATTCAAATAAAGATGACGAAATAGACAAGAAAAAAAATGAAATGACTTTATGTCTTCACATTCTGAGTGTTCTGAGCTCTGAGAACAGTATGTAAATTACAAAACTGAATTAGGCTGAGCCTAAATTTGTCTCTGAAAGTGAAATGGCTAATGATGGCTTGAATATTCAAGCTGTTTCTAATGCTATATCCTCTGGGCCCATAAAATATCTGTGCCAAGCTCAGTGTATTTGGTAGTATAAAACATAAATAACCAACAAATTAAAAGTTACAGAACAGAGTGACCATCCCTGTCATTAGAGTTCTAGCAATATAATTTTTATATAATTCTTTAAATAAATGTTTAAAATGTAATTACAAATGATTGCTCAAATGCTCTTCCTCATTGCTCTGCTTCTGCCTCCAGAAAACTGAAATCCTATTACGGTGTAAGTGATTTCATTTGGTACATGGTCTGGAGACAGTACATTAAGGAAACATCATCAGCAAATTAATTTACAAACACTTTGAGATAACAGACCACAGTAAAAAGAACAACTCCTGTCAAAGCAATCCATTCTTTGTCAAGACTCAAAGCTGGAGACATGGTGAAGAAGTGATCAGTTCAATATATCCTAATTTTAGTTTGGCTTTCATTTTTCCCCCCACAACATTTAAATCAAAACATTCCAAAAACAGAGTTGAAACCATCCTATTAGATGTGTGCATCCTACCCACAGACAGAAGGGGTGGAGGCTGATCAATGACAAGAAAGAAGGTGGGTTCCATCTCAGATCAACAACTGACTTGTGTTATAGATAAATCAGGCACCTCAGCTTCACAATGTCTTACTGATTTTTCTTTGTAACATGTTAGCCTGGCATGAGCCTTTAAAAGTGCAATTGTCCCTATCTAGCTAAATAATGATTTGCTGGTGACAAAGCTACTGGAGATATTTCCTTAAGGGCCATGACCACAGTTGATTAGAAAGAGTTACCCCATCTGTCCCTGCTAACCACATTCTGCAGTCTCACTGCATGGCTTGAAATACTTCAGCATAACCTTCTAGTTCTGTCCAACGGCACTAGTTCAAATACCAGCTCTACAGTTTATTTGCTTACTGACTTTGGCCAAGATATTTAAACTCAAAGAGCCTAACTTTTCTTTATCTGTTAAACGGGGGGACAATACCAAACTCATTGAGTTTTACTGGAATTAGAAGAGATGATGTTTAAAAAGCAGTTACTCAGTGCCTGTCACATGTGCTCATATTTCCTGCTCAGTAAATGTTACGTATTATTATTGCAGTGACTTCATTTTGAAATCATAAGTACATATCCTGCTCAGCAGCATTATATTATACCTAGGACATTGGTCCTCTCTTTAGTGCTAAGCATGGGCTGCATGAAGCATTCATGAGTGTATTCAAGAAGGTAGATGGGTGCAAAGTTCAAGGCTATGATGCTGTGCCTTCTGGAGACCTTTGGCTCTGTTGATGTTTAACAATTTTCCATCAGCCATCTTTCTTCTCTCTCATAACCCCCTTGCCTATCACCTTTCTGGATAATATCCTTTATGGTAGCAGAACTCAGTGTCAGGTTTTATCTCCAAATCAATGGAGCAATCTGTTTCTTCAGATTTATCCACCCCAAGCACAATATTGACTTTACTGGCAATTTAGAATTACTAACAAGTTCCAGCTCGAGCAGACTTTCTTAGGAACTTCCAGGAATACTGAGAGCCAATGACTTAGAAGAGTTTCTCAAGATACCAGCAGCATTGTCTGGTACTAGATTGCATCCATGTCCCTTGGGATAACCCCAAGCACAGGCATGGAATAGTAAAGAAAACCCCACCAGTTCCACAAGCCTATCCTGCTCCAATGGTAATGGTCTCTGAACCAAACAGAACACCATTAGGTTTCCTTAGATGCTGCACTAAAGCCAGTTGCTGCCGTGATCTGGCCCTGCTAATGACAGAAATTTAGAGGCGAAGTGCAGGAGGCTTCTTGGGTAAACTTTTTGATTTTCCACCCCCTAGAAGTGCATTCCTGATTCTGAGGAATGATGCTTCCTTTTACCCCATCTTTTACCTTGGAAAGTAGAAATGAATTAGAAAGAAAATTGCTTTTTTGGAAGCACATTGCAGTATATGGGTTCCAAGAAATCCATACCTAGAGATATGCTAGAGAGATACTACAACTTCCCTCGATACCCAGGACTGGTACTCAAAGAAAAGAGTTTTAATCCCTAACCTATGGATAATAGCAGCCTTTCTAAAAGTACCTGATCTATATCACTCACATTGTCTTCCACTTTGATATCACTACCACCACCACTCCATGCTTGAGTATATTAACAAAAACATCTATCCACGCCAACGTTGCTTCTGCTATCCCAAAAGGGTTGTAAAAAAACATAAGATTGAATTAATCATTAATTTTACTCACTTTAAAACACATGAGGATTCGCGTGGAGTTGGGTGACTCTCTGCCCTCACTCATATGGTATCTGATTTGTGTTTCACCTGGAGTTGCTCTAGTGGTGAAATAATTTTCATTCACAGGGTACCTTTTCGCTAAAGAGCTATATAGGTGCTTCCATGGAATAGCACACAGCCATACTACACAGCCATAAAAAAAGAATGAAATCATGTCCTTTGCATCAACATAGACGGAGCTGGAAGCCATTATCCTAAGAGAACTAACACATGAACAGAAAACCAAATACTGCATCTTCTCATCTATAAGTGGGAGCTACACTGAGTACACATGAACGCAAAGAACAGACACAGGGGCCTATTTGAGGGAGGAGGGTGAGGATACAAAAACTACCTCTCAGGTACTACACTTATTATGGGGGTGGTGAAATAATCTGTAGACCAAACCCAGTGGCATACAATTCACCCGTGTAACAGTCCTGCACAGGTACCCGTGAACATAAAAGTTTTTCTTACAGAGCTACAGTTGCTTCATTAAATTGTGTTACATTCATGCTCAAGCAATCTACTTAAGCTTGTAGTCTTATATCCCACATTAGATAGAGAGAAAATGAGCCATAAAGCAGTAAAATGAGCAGCACATGGAGGCAGAATTGAGGTTCTAGGCTCTTGAGTCTTGTCTCTCTTTACAATATTCCCAACTTTTCTTCATGTTCCTTACTCATGCTCCCTTTTCCTAAGCACTTTGAAAACAATATGTACTCTGAAATACACACGCAGAGTAGACTTCCCAGCCTCAAACGTGTACCTCCTGTCCTTCTAAGCACCACTGATGTTCAGATCTTGTGTTTCTTGTGTTTCTACCAAGAAGCCTTTTTGCTGCACTTCACTTTCTGTCGTTCTTTTGTTTTCTAAACATAAGGCTATATTACAATATTGAGGACAACATTGGTTAGCTCTTAGTGCTTTTCAGTAATATCCTTCCGCCACCCCTTCCCCCCAGCTGAGAATTATTGCAGTGAATTGGATGGCTCTGTTAATTAGCCCATTTGTATAAATTTAATTAGGAAAAAAGAAAATATAAAAAATGGTGTTAGATTACAAAGAGTAAACATTAATGTATTAACACTATTTAGATAAACAACTTAAAAAGAAAAAGGAAAAAAGAATCGACAAGGATTGGCCTCTCCCAAAACTCAAAGGTATCCTTCCTTCGTTTTAGTGCTGAATGGTTTTGGTCAATGTACTCCTACCTCTGCTTCAGAGTTAGCAGTTTAGCTTTTTCTAGGTTTCTGAGGCATATTGCTTTGACAAATAGAGCAATCTGAACTGATTATTCCTTGGCTTTAGAGTTATTGTTGGGATGCCAGCTGACATGAGTCATCAGTAGAGAGCCCAGGTATGGAGGTAAGGGCCTCAACCTCTTGATAAAAGTTTTCAACATCTCTGTCTGCATCAAGGCGTCTTCTAAATTCCATGAAGTTTACATGACATAAAATTGAACATAGAATTTTCACACATGCCTAAAAACTTCCAAATAGAGTATATGAGTAAAAAAGACTGAAATTAGAATTTGGTTTAGTAACCTGCTTGATCTCAGCTTTAGCCAAATCTTATACTCCTAAGTGCATGCCTTCTTTATAACCCATTACATATACAAGTGCAGCTGGTGTTCAAATTGATGAGGGTGACTAGATCCTTAAATAAAAATTGGTGGAATTTTCTTCCACACTCTAACTTTGGACCCACCAATGTCTCCAGGATTAAATGTGGATATTATAATGATACCATTTGATTTATTTTTATTTTTTGAAGCTAAATACCATAAAATTTTCTGATGAATGACTTTTCAAACAGATCCGTTTATCAAAGTTGCACAGGATATAGTCTGCATATTACACATTTATGATAGAATCAAAATTAAAATTTAAGAACCTCTTTCATTGCCCTTTTGGATTGTGGCAGCAGTCTCAACGAAAGGGCAGACTGATTCACGTAAATTAAAGGGCACTGAATGATCTTCAACTTTTATGCACATGACATAAGAGACAGGCTGTGGTATAAATTACTAATCACACAACTAATTCACCTACATGAACCAATAATTGTGGCTGCTTTGCTCAAACTTTCCTCAGATTGATAGCATGAATGGAACTCTGTACACATCTCATGGCAGATGACGGTAAATATTATTGGTCTCTTTGGGTTGTTTCTCACCATAAAATACAGTCAGTATGATAAATGAAGAAGGATGGATGGTGCTAAGGGCCAACAAAACCAACATTTTTGACAGTTCAAATGCTAATCTTTAATCCTTAAAATTATTAAACTACAGATATTTAAACAAGTGACTATAGAGATCAATAATCTTAAAGTCTCACGGTATTCATAAATCTGTACCACTAGACCAGAATAAATTTTCAAATAGGTTTCTGAATAAGAATTGTCAATTATTTATTTTTATAAAGGGAGGAAAGAAATGGGATGAAATGCAGCATGGTATATTCTTATAAATTTGATTGCAATTTGCTAGGCTGGTTACCTATAGGAAGGGCACAGTACATGTGAAAGTTACAAATGCTGGAGGGTTGAACACTCATTTAAGACGTATTCAGTCTTGAAAATTGAGTTTAAAATGTTGAAGCCTCATAAGTTTCTATCCTCATGACCTTATGCAAATTAAATTTGAAACATCACAATAATCTCTTTCTGCAACTTGGAGAGTTCTCCTCACTTCCTTCATTCGGACATGCACTCGTGTGCTCAGTAGGCTTCCGCTTGGCATGTTTCCGGAGCCAGGCTACCTAATTTGGCCCACCCTATTCACACGGATCTTAGAGAGGAAAATCAGCCAGCCCACAAATGTCCTTTTTACAGAAAACCTCTATTGACTTCTACCCAGCAACCATCTATATAAACAACCCCTTATATTGATCTTATAAGTTATGGTAATGTTACATTAGCATTCATTTCTCTGGATACATATTTAAACAGTAATTTCTTTTAAGCTAGCAATTACCTGGTAATGCTGAATCAATCCGAAAAGTGTATTTCTAGAACAGTTTCAGAAAATCTGGTGAGAGTTCCCCTTTGCACAGCGAGCATTTCTCACAGCCTCAGGCTCATGAATGGTTACCTGAGATCTTGAAACAAGGAGACAGACACAAATAACATCGGGCGAGTCAGGACTGCACTGACATGAACTGGTTCTCAAGTCAGGAGAAAGCCTGCAGCAGGAGGATATTATCTAAGATATTTGAGATGGGGTTGGTCTGGACTAGATAGATAGATAAACCTTCAAACACACACAATCACTTCAGTGTTGTCCAGATTTAAGTTTAAACATAAGGAATCTTAACTATCCTAAGACATTTGGAAATAACTGAATAACTCATCTTACCAGTTATTTACTTGGGAGATTATTTTTGGAAGATTATCAGTAGGCTGATATTTTTTTAAAAAAATCAGAGTCATTCTTAAGTTTTAATGCCAGATTTTATATAATTTCAGGAAGTATTCCCTCTAAAGTAACAAACCAGCAGTTAGCTCAAAACACGAACCCCGTCTTTCTTTGGAATGCACATTCTTTCTCACAAGATTTGAAATCGCCAAATGCTACTTTTTCTTTGAAGACAGCATTTCTTTAAAGGGCCATGTTTAACTGCACCTTTTCTACATGGATGTATGCTTACGGATCTCATCATCTTCTAAATTTAGAGAGATGCGCTTTCCAAAGGAAGATAGGCAGCCAATAAGGAGGATCCCATCAAAAGAGAGGTGAGTTACTATGGTTACTTTTCAGGAGGTTGAGTAACAGTGAACAGTGCTCTTGGCCAAATGGACCCTTTCCAGAGGAGGACCTAAAAAGAATGTTGCTATCCATACGTGTTGATTCAATTAGTCGAGACTACACTATGTCGTTTGAGCTTTAACCACAGGCTTTCTATCAGCGATTGCTGCTTCCAGCCTAGCTGCACATAGGCAGCGAAGTCAACGGGAAAACAAGGACTGAAAACTTCCGAACGCTAACCTAATAGCGAAGAGCAGCGGACTCTTCACCCAAGAACCAATCCTAAGGTTTACATTTAAAAAATCGAATCAGGTCATTTGGGACCAGCAGCTGGCTACTCTTCAGTGGTTGGGGGCGGGGTGGGATCCCGGAACACGTCCCTATCCTCCCCCTCAAGGAAAGGAGTCCCTTCTGAGCTCGGAGGAAGGCACCTGGCTGGATGAATCCAGACATACCTTGTGAGCTGGGTCCACTCACCAGATCGGCGCATGCACCTGTTAGGTAGAAGCGCGGGGTTCGGTGCTCACTCCTGCTTTTGCGGCTGTCACTCTTCAGTCGGGCGCTGACAGCGGCAGTAGCGGCAACTGCAGCTCGGCGGGCAGCCCTGGCTCCTGCAGGTCCGTCCCTCCAGTCTCTGAAGCGCCTCTCACTCCGGGTTCGCAGCGCTAGGCGGGCGCGCAGCTGTTCTCAGCTCGCATTGGACCACAGGGAGCAGATGTTACCCGGTTGCTAGGAGCGTTGCTAGGAGGCGATGACGCCCCTCCACAGCTCGGGAGCAACTTTCCTGTAGGTCGAGTGCGCCGGCGGGGGCTGCTGGGAGCAAGGTTGAGAGCTGGAACGCCGAGGGGCGGCGAACAAAGAGCCCCGACAGAAGGGTCCCGACTGCGCTCGCCTAAGTTGGGGCCGGCAGAGTGGGTTGGGAGGCTGGGGCTGGGCGAGACTCGCGGGCCCGGGTAGGTGAGCCTCGGTCCCGCGCCTCCCCGGGCAGGTCACTCGCTGCAGGCCTTGGCTCGGTGTCCCCTACGGAGGTCGGGTTTGGGGAGAGGGGTGGGGCGGCACTTTCAGCGGCTGAGGAAGCAGCGGGGTTTGGCTCAGTGTTTTTTTTTTTTGTTTTTTTTTTAAGACCCTGACCCTTCCTCTGGGATACTCTTCGCCTTGGAGTAGGACCCTGAGAAGGGAGAACCGGATGAGTTCGTGGGTGTGACCCGGGGTGAGGCGTTTGGGGATGAGCAGTACGGGATCTTCCGCCTTCTGGGACTCTCCTCCCTAGTGTGTTCGTGTTTGTGTCTGCAGGTTTGAGCACTTGATAGATTCTGAGGAGGGATATGTTAACTAATCCATAAAAATCAGCCCAGAGTCTAATTCCTTTTGGCGTTGTCTGTGGCTGCCTACTGGCAGGGGGCCTCAGATTTAAAAAAAAAAAAAAAAAAAAAAAAAAGTTCTTGTGCTCTAAAACACGTCCTTCACACAATTAGAAAGTCCTCATTTTGGTCCAACAGCTACTTAAAACCTCAGGCCAACATGTAAACTTCTTTAACATGAAAATGCACAAAAGCAAAGGTATTTTTCACAAAGGAGACTAGAGGTGTGCATGATTTAGCACTTTAGTACACTTTAGTGTACATGTACACATTAGTATACATTTCCCCAAATGATTGCATAATTTCTCATATCTCAAGCTATGTTTTCATGTTTTACATTGCTTTTGTTGTTGTTGTTAAATAGGGCTGTTTTCTTGGGGATGGGGGATGATTAGAACATCAAAGTGGGCAATTTGGGTAGCCAGTAAGCCAAATTAAAGAAGGGAAGATGAAAAATCTACTAGAGAAATGTTACCCAAAGCTATCTTCGGAGAGAGAATCGCACTGAAGAAGAGACACATCACTTCCCTGGTTCCCTGTAGAGTCATGCCAGGGCCTGGAAGGAAGAGAACACGACTGGGAATCAATTAGAAAGAAAAGTTGCTGTCTTTGGAGCCAGGGCAGGGCTGCTGTGCAGTGTTATGTTGATTCCTCTGGTGGCTGGCACTCTGTGAGGCTGAAGGGGCTACACCAGCGGCCCCACCACTCTCAGGGCCCCCTGCTTGCTCTCTCAGCACCTACTGAAAGCCTGTGGCAAAGCTAACAGTTTGTTAGCCCTAAGATTTAAAAAGCTGGTAACCTAAAATCGAACTGTCTGAAGAAGTAATAATAAGCCACAGTGGGTTGAAGATCTGATGATAAAGTTTCAGCTATCGGGTATGACAGGGGGCTTTGAGACGGGTACACTTCACATCCAGGAGATGGTCCTAGCCAGAAGTACACCACTGCTGCTTCCTTCTTCGTTGGAATAAGGGCAAGATGCAGCTGATATCTCAATGAGCCTTGTCTTCTTGTCCAGCTCATCTCAAAACACTCTCCTCCTTGCTCTTTAAGGTCCAGTCACGCTGGACTTTTTTCAGTTTCCTTGAATAGGGAAGGGTCTCACTTGCCTAAGGTATTTTGTACATGCTGTTTCTTCTTTCTTAATGTGCCTCCCTTTTACCTGGCTTACTCCTACTCAGCTTTCACGTCTCAGCTTAAATACCACTTCCTCATAGCAGCTTCCCCTGACAGCCTCCCACCGACTACATTAGCCCCCTAATTATGTTCCCAATTCACCCTACCAATCCTATTTCACAATATTCATTACACCAGATTTTAAGCTAGTTCACCTGGTTAACACTGTGTCCCAACTGTCTAGCACACAGTGCCTGGTACATCAAAGGTAACCAAGAACGCCTGGGAATAGATGAATCCACCCTGCCTGGTTTGAGGTCCCTGTTTTCACCTTAGCTACGTAGCTATCAGTTCATGAACTTACACTAACCTTGAAGGCAGCCACTAGTTGCTGTCTTTACAGTTACTCAAGCAGAAGAAGGGAGCTGGGGGAAAGCCTGTTATACAGAAAATAGTTTTCTTCCCTTAATGAGACATTGTGTTTATAAAGTGACTTTTTTTTTTCCTTTTCAAAACATCTTATAAAGGTCACTACCTGCATTTTAATAGCATTGGGAAATACTCACCTAAAGTCATTTATATATTTTCCTAATTCTTGTCTTTCCACACCCTCTAAAGTGGTTGTGAGACCTCCGAGATGAACGGTTTCATTTTTCCTTAAAATACTCCTCTACCTCAGGTAAAAGCAGCCTCCATAACAACACGCTATATCTTATGGAGAAAAAAATGTATTTGGGAGCAGCTAGGTAATTTGACCAGTATGGATGGTATGTCTAGTGTTATACTTTATCTGAATGGACTAGGAAATCTTTACTATTGTCAGTTTAAATCAACAAATAATTGCCAAGTCCCCTCCTCCTCTGGGACTACCTCAAGATATAACAGATGTTGGAAGACACGAAAGAAAGGTCAAGGTAATCCAAGATCACAGGATTCCTTGATGGCATAACTGGAATTAGAAAACAGGTATGATTTTAATCTCGACTGTGTTATTTATGTCTGCATATATAATTGGATAAATTCTGCAATTCTCCTTGTAAGATTAGAATCTTTCACTAAACAATTTTGGATTTTAAAATACATATTAAAATTCCATACTACCTACCTTAGAATCTATCCAAATTCTAATCTTCTCACCACTCAATCTTGTCCCTCCTCGACATGACCATAGATATAATGCCAATCCTGTCTCCTACTTCTTATCTGTTTACTGAAAAGAATCAGATGTTTTATTATGTAGTGGAATGCACATTAAAATTTATCAGCACTGTGAAATGTCACCCAAGCTTCCCCTTGAGCCATATTTCTGAATCTTTCTGGAGCAACCCCAGAGAAACTGTAAGGAGACTATGAAGCTTACAATACATATAATGTGATTTGACTTATTTGACTTATCAATAAAATGCTACACAGCACAATTTTTTAATTACTACAAAAGACAAAAAAAAAAAAAAGAACCAAAGAACCAGAGTCATAGATGGCTGTCTCAATTATTTTAACATTTCAGCATGGGTAAGCCTGTGTTGAAGCAATGCCACAAGATAGCAATCATTTGCCAAGTTTAAGCTCTCCAGATGACATACTCTAAGATTCATATATGGAAAAATGTTTCTTCTGCATTATTCTTCTTTTGCTCATATATTTGCTTTAATGTTTTCAGTATGCCATATATGTATGTACCTACTAGTGCACATACACATGTAGAAATGGTCAATCTTGCTCAGCCTACTAGCTCAAAACTCTTTGCCCTGTGGCTTTGGAAATGTGAACTCAAATAGTCTTTATTTGCAACAATGCTCCTTCAAGTGTTGAAATGGTCTAAGTCTAAGGTGACTATGGATGTAAAAGTACAAGTAGAACCCTTAATCAGCCCATAGTGTTCTAGTGCTGTCATGGGTTAGAAAGAACTTAAGCAACCAATAAGCTTTTCATAAATAGTCACCAGTACCACAACATTTCAAATAATTTTTTTAAAAATGTAAGTATGCCATAACTTAACTGACTTAACAAGAGTCTTACCAATACTGTTTCATTTTCTCGGGCATATAAATAAACTACAATTCCCAGCCTTCTTAAATATAGGTGGACCCATTGGACTAGTTCTGGCCAACGGAGTTTGGGCAGAAGTGAAGAGCAGCACCTCTAAGCCTGTCCCCTAAAACACATCATTTGACCCTCATGGCTTTTCTTCCTCCATTTGCATGGCAATACATTCCTTCAAAGTCCATAAGGACTCTGAAAGGCCAAATCACAAAAGGAGCCTCAATCCCTGAGATACTGCTAGAAAGAAAACTGAATGGCCAAAAACATCCCAGATGAGGGAGAAATAAACCTTTCTTATGTGAGTCAACTGACATTTTGGGTTATTACAACAGGTAACATTACCTCAACTAATACAGAATTGTAAAATTGTTAAAAATTGTCACTGAAACATCTATAGAATTGTATTTCTCTATGCTTTTCTGTTTGGGGGAAGTCAGCCATGTTTTGAGTGCTATGTAGGTGTCCGAATATAATAACTCAGCTCCCTCTACTTCTAGCTTGTTGCATCTGAGCCTTGTTAACTTTTGAGAACTGGGTATTCATAGAGGGGAAAGTGTTCTGGACAAGAGCTTCTCTAATGAGGAATTACATACACTTTTGTACATGAACACCTACACTTTGCAGTTTGCCTTCTCAGAATCCCCTTTAGATGCAATTTAATTAATTCAGGTGATCCTTACATTTATATAGCTCCTTACCTGATGTTCTTCAAGTCAGCATTTGAACTGGTATATGTTGATTTGTATATGTGTTCACCATAAAAGCCTACAGCACCCTGAAACCAAATAAACTGTATGGATCATACATGTAATGCTTATAGTTCTAAAATATATGTCTGCAGTTGGTATGGTTTTGAAGTTAATGGTTTTTGTATATACTAAAATAAGCAGTATCATTCAGGCCCATAAAATTTGCATGTTGATGCTGCAAAACTGTATCTTTTTTTAACATAAAAAATTTTCACACATGTACATATAAGCCATCTGCTAAAACTTTATTGATAAAACCAGTAGCAGCAGTTTTACAAAATTGGAATGATTTTCAGTTTTCATGAACTATCATGAATTCAGTTGCAGCAGACATTTTATACAAACTGGGGCTAATGCTTCTTCTATGTTTCTGTTTTAAACAAAAAGCAATTAGAATTTATCCTCATGCATTTAAATATCTAATACAGAAATAGTGTTTAGACTGCATAAAATATGCTTTCCAACATCACTGTGAGACTGAACATCTGCCTTAAGTATTATTTGCACAAGAAAAACAGTATAATTCTTCTAATCATGAATTTATTCCTTGTCACAGGTAAAGTTTTACATTTTCTAACATTTTCAGAGGGCATTTCTAACAAAAAGTATTGACATTCAATATTTCACTGATTGGTCTTGTTTAAACACAATACATAATAGTAAGATAGTAATACATTAAAACCATCATTATGAAATCTTAAAGACTACAAAAGGTAGAAAGGTATTCCAGTTTTTAACAATTAAAAAATTTCCACACCTTTTCCTATACACAAATTATCCACTGATAGAAGTAAATTTAGAAATAGGATGGGTCATTACATTCTACAGCTGTTTGTTCTGGTAACAGCTAGTGATACATTCATGCTTCTTTAATAAGAGACACCATGAATCAATAAGTCATACTATGAGAAACACAAGGACACCCACATGGAATGTTCTGAAGATTGTCAGAAGTTTCTAAAGTAAGGGTTCAATTCTTTTGAGGAGAAATTTTTTCTCTCTCTCTCTTGAACCTCTGGACCACATACGAATTCTCTACTGGAAAACTAGAGGAGGAACTATAATAGCATCCAGGTCTGAAAATGCCTATGAAACACTGGGAGAGGATTGGGGTGGCTTCCACCTTACAACTAACAAAACTGGCCTTGAACAATCAATTTGCCAAGAAATTCTTCTAGTGACTTAGAAATCTAGAGGAAGACCAGATTTTATACTAAACCATGTTATACTTAACTATCCACAAAAGTGAAATTTATAAAATTACTGACTGCCTTTGACAACCACCAAAACTCAGCACAGTCTAGCACATATAAATAATGTATTAAAGTAAGCATAGAATAGAAAAAGTACATGTTTACAATGTTAATACATCTGCAGCATCCAGCTGTGAGTAGAATAGTAATATAAAGCACATTCCCTGCTAAGAACAGTGTACTCCATGTAGGGTAAAATCTCCTGAAAATCTCCTAAAATAGTTACATATGTTCAAAATGAATGAATCATTCACATTTACATTTTTTTCATGAAAGTTCTTCAAGGACACCCATCAAAAGTTGAGATATAAAGGAAAACCAATAAAATATTTTAGAACAACAGAGCTGTACACAGTATGCATATGGTGAAACATAAATGTGTGAATGTGAACAACTGTTTCAGATGCCATATGAAGACCAAAAATATTGAGAAAGTCAGATTTATCTTGCACTGTGAACACAAATAAAATATTGCTATGAAATCTTGGATGTACCTTAAAAATGATTTTTTAAATCTTTACTTTTTCTGTGGGATAGTAAAAGGGCATTTATGAAGAAAATGATTACATGAGTGAGGAAAGTCACTTGGGAGGGGAGAGATGGACAAGTTTGATTCTTCAAAAGAAAAATAATAAAGGAGATTGAAGGACCTTTTTTGGCAGGGGAAGAATTTTTCTAAGGACTGTATTCAAATCCACTTTGTAGGGGAGGAAAAGCTATTCCATTTAATACTTTGCCTGTACTCAAAGTTAGGTTGTTCTAAAGAAAGGTCTGCATTCAACTCAAAGGTTGGCGAACCTGCTGAAAACATGGATTTGCAGTTTGTTACATGATCAGTGTTTGAACAAAAAAAAATTAGAACCTAATATTTTATTTCTAGCTCCTCAGAGACAGAACAGCTAAAGACCAACTATAACTTGTATTCAGACAGATTACTGACATTCTATGAATATGGCCCACTGATTGGCAGAGCTCTAAAAGTGTCAATTACTTTGATATATTGACATAAAGAGTTGATACGACCTTAATATAAAAATCACAAACTATCCTGTAGTCTTCAAAAACATTGCAAGTCTTCAAAAATTCTGCAAAACGTCTTTCCATCTATCACCTTGTCATATGTATGGCCCTGTTATATAGTGGGGTCTCAAAGTGTTCATTATATTAATGAAGGAATGAATGAATCCTGTTCCTACAACCACCTGGTAAAAATAGGTAAAATGAGTATTACTATTCCCATCTGATAGATGCAACAATGAAGGCTTGAAAAAATTGTGACTTGATATTCATTTTAGAGCTCATTAGTGGAAGATTTGATATCAGAACACAGGCCTCATCAACTTTAATCCAATATTCTTTATACAACTATACCTTCATCTCTGCAATAATGCCAGGTTCTGCAAGTTGCTGTAGCTACAAAGCAAAGGGCAGTCAGAAGACATATAAATAATCTCAAAATGTTTCTCAGATACAAATCATTGGCCAGGCCTCCCCCTTCACCCAGAGTGACTATCAGTGTTTTCTTTCCAACACCCATCTACTTGTTCATGCAACATATACATTAGCATGGGTTATCTTTTCATTCAGAATTCAGAGCTGCTGTGTGAGCCAGATGCTTACATACCATTTTTAATTGATTTGTACAATTAACTATGACGGGGCACAATCACAAAGCTTCCTTTCTCTTGGCAGGAGTGGTAAATGTAAAGTCATATAAACTAGCGACAGAAGGTGATTTTCTATCATGAATCAGTAATAACATAATTAACACTTTTTATCGACAGGTATTTAACTCATTGCTCAACAAAAGACACTACAGAGTCACTAAATTTGGGATCACGTCTTCATAACCTTCAGAACTTTCTGTTTAGATTCCAATGGAGGGAAAAACTCATAGATAGGGTAATATAAATTATGAAATTATTATATTTTTTCATAAATCTCCTCCCCCAATGTAAAACAAGCTCAATATCATATAGGTGAAATTTATTCTAGACTGGAAGTTGCTACATTTTATTTGATGGATCATATAAAATATATGCAGCTTTTCCTGAGAGCACGCACTTTAATAAAATTTGCCATAGCAACTGGAACTAGAAATAAGAGCAAATAGGTCATAAATGGTGATACAACCAGACAATGAAATATTATTCAGCACTTAAAATAAATGAACTATCAAGCCATAAAAAGACATGAAAACTTACATGACTATCCCTAAGTGAAAAAAAAAAAAGCCAATCTGAAAAGGCTACATACTGTATGACATTCTGGAAAAGGCAAAACTCTGGGGACAGTACAAGGACCAGTGGATGCCAGGGCTTAGGTGGGAGGGAGGAATGAATAGGCAGAGCACAGAGGATTTTTAGGGCAGTGAAAATCTTCTGTATGATACTACAATAGTGGACACACGTCATTGTGCATTGGTCAAAACCCATAAAATACACAACACCAAGAGTGAACCTTAATATGAACTATGCACTTTGGGTGATAATGTTATGTCAATGAAGGTTCATCAGTTGTAACAAATATAGCACTGTGGTGTTCAAAATGTTCACGGGGAAGAAGGTTGTGTTTGGAGTATATGAGAACTCTATATTTTAGGATCAATTTTGCTGTGAACCTAAAACTCTAAAAAATAAAATTTATTAATTTCTTAAAAAGTAGATCTCAAAGACCAGCTTTAACCTGAAAATACAGGTCAAATCCTATCCCAACACTATAAGAGAAAATATTGTAACAGAAACCTCTGTCATAATAAGGTATACAAATACTAATTTCTTATTCACAAACTTAAAATCTATACTGAAATTAAGTTTTAAAATTCTGGAAAGGACTTTGTATTTCACAAAATTGAATTTGCAGCTGCATTCATATGGTGGCATAATAAAAGACTGTATTATAATTTGGTAGAGTTGTGAATTAATAAAGATTATCATAACCCACAAGGAAATGTGGCAAAATTAGTAAGCTTTGGTCAAGGCATTGGCTATAAGGAACTTGACAAAGAAACACTCTCAAAAAAGAAACATGGTCCTAGAATGCAACTATCTTAAAATAACTTACATGAAAATATCTTTTAATGTACATGTTCCTCACTTAATCAGAGTTTTTACTGGCAGACTTCCGATATTTCTTCTCAAACATCAAGGTCTTTTTTAAACAAGATATGTACATTTTTTATTATGGACTATCAACTGGGCAACACGAAAAACTTGCTTTCAGTCAGAATTTTCAGGCCACCAAAGATTTTGAGTTAATTTGCGTGGACTAAGACATGTTTAGTAGAATTATAAACAATAAATCCATTGGAAAAACTCCTGCTTTAAAAATGGGTTGAGTCTAGGAAAAAAGTATTGGTCTATCTGCCAAGGTAGGGACACTCCCAATGTTGACCTTTACCTATTTCATAAGGATGCCCCAAATGTATTCAGTTTTTAAGACTAGTTTTAGTCACAGAAAGGTAAGCAGGGCTCTTTGTTTAGATTGTCACCTCTTTCTCTGGCGGCTACTGTTACCAGTTCACTCTTTCAAAAAGCAAAGGGTAGCAATGCCTTTGACTATTAAAACACAGAGCTTGTAAGAAATGTGTCAAGTTTGTACAGACCTAGCATTCCAGGATCTAACTTACTGTCTTGCAAAGGGCATTCAGTATTTAATTATAAAAGTCAAGAATACTAAATATCCTATTTGATGCTATAATTCTTTTCACTGCTGGAATGGAATGATGCATTTCCTCCCCCAGATACAAAACATATCCATTTATTTTGAATGAAAGCATAGACTGACAAACAAGTGTACCTATTTCTTAATTAGATACAGGGTAATAACTTTCACCTTCCCTAAATCTTCTGCCTTTCAAAGGGGGAAAGAGACAATTACAGAAATACATTAAGCCAAAAATTCAAGGTTAATAAAAGATCTTATTATTTACCTAGATTTCTTATCAGACTCTAGTTTTTAAAAAGAATATTTAGAAACAACAAAAAAATATTGTTGAACTTAAACTATTTTATCCATCTGCCATTCTCCAACCCCTAACCCTGAGTCTGGAACATTTACACTTAAAAAGGTCTTGTTTTTTGGTTTTTTTGAGACAGAGTCTCACTCTGCTACCCAGGCTGAATGCAGTGGCATGATCCCGGCTCACTGCAGCCTTGACCTCACAGGTTCAAGCAATCCTCCCACCTCAGCTTCCTGAGGAGCTGGGACTATAGGCGCACACCACCATACCCAGCGAATGTTTGGTATTTTGTAGAGACAAGATCTCACTATGTTGCCCAGGCTGGACTAGAAATCCTGGACGCAAGCTGTTCTCCCACCTCGGCCTCCCAAAGTTCTGGGATTACAGGTGTGAGCCACCATGCCCAACCTATAAAGATCTTTTTGAATGAATAAATTTTGTATAAAACAAACAAAACCCCAGCAACTAGATACTTCAAGGGGGAAATGACGTAAACAAAAATAATGCATAAATATGGCAATACAATAGGAAGTCAGCCTTCTCATCATCCTCAAGGTAAAACTGGTAACACTGTCACTCAAAGGCATGAAGTAAAAATTCCCATGAAGAAACCTTAAGGCAGCATTAGTGAGCAATGGAAAGCAGTTAGCAAGTTAGCGGCTTCATTCCAAGAAAGGCCTCAGATCTCCATGACTGCCTATGAGCTTGTTCTGTAAAGCCTCGAGCTGTTTCACAGGTTCCACAGTGGATATAAATAAGGTGATTATTGTCTGTGTGTCTAGGATATGGTTTTGTGACCCAAGGGAAACAAAAACAGTCAAAGCACCATAGGAGAGGAAACTCCCCCTGAGCCTGCAGGCATCCCCAAAGCCCTAAACAAAACCCAAATAGGAACTCTTCAGAGAAAACTTTCTATGATGCAGAGAAAAATCAATGTGGAAAAAATGTCCAAAGTGGAAGAAGACAGGCCTGGAGTGTTATTGTTGATTCTTTTTTAACGTTACACCTAAATATTAGAAGGAACTTTATAAAGGGTATATTCATGGGTGTCCTCTCATTCTTCTTTAGCAGAACCAAGACTTCAAGTACATTTTTCTATTTTAAAAAACTTCCAAAGATGATGATTCTATGACACCCCCATCCCCACCAATTTCCCATATAATGCAACCAAGACTCACTGCCAGTCCAAGGCTTCCTAGACACTTGCCCCAATAAATTCAGCCAATGTTTCACCTTCCAATACTAGTAACAAGGAACTCTACTGTTTATGGCACATAGTTAGACTAACTTAACAGTTGTATATTGGTAAGCATCATTGTATAATGATGACCAACTGCTTCAATGTGCACTCATAGCACTCCAAAGAGATTTTAAGTTCTGTGCCAGCCCAGATAGCATAGTACTAGACAATGAATACATTTTGAATTAATGAGAAACAACCTTCACATAATTCTCCAGACTTGATTTAGAGGGATGCTCTGAAATCTATCCATGTGGTCAAGAAGAGAAAGTGTGCACCATCCCCCTGGTTAGAACTTTTGGATCATTGTTACTAGAAATCTCCTCAGCCTTCTTACCTCCCATCTAACTCCTTCACCTTCCCTACATGTTTAATTATTCCCTACTAAAAGCCCTAAGCTAAGTGATTCTCCAATGTCTTCATGTTTCTCCTTAATTGGGATACCGAGGACTCAAAACAGTGCTTTGGCAATTTGATTATATTAGGAGTGTAGCCTCGCACTTCTCATCCCAGAATCATGTTTCGTTTAAAACCACAAGTAGCACATGACTGACTCATGGCACCTGGTTACACTGAACTTGAAGTGGTTTGCTCCTGAAGACTTCTCTAGATTAAATGTCAACAAAGATTCTTCTAAATTCTCCAGAAACTCTCCTTTTTACTCAAGGTTTGAATCACTTGAGAACAAGTGGATGCGCTATTATATCAACAAGCCACTCTTAAAACCCATTTTAAAAAGTAGTATCAACTGAATTTCTTTCATTAGGATCTCATAAGGGAAACAGTGATAATTTGTTCTGAGCAGGACATTCCAGTCAAACAGATACGTTTTGAGAGCTGTGTTATTAGAGTATTTTAAAATGTTTGGCTATCAGGATATAAAATGGATATATAATGCAGGTTTTAAAGAAAGTGTTATCCATTTTTAAAACAGTCTCAGTATAGTATCACATCATTTATTTTACTTTTTTGGATCACAGTTGAAATATGTAGTCAAACTGCCATTGTCACCAACTCTTTTGATAAAGGCGACAAGATGCCTTGTCCATTTATGAATAAGAGAACTGGAGACAAGGAGAGGCCTTGTTTGTGATCGATCAAGAGGTACACACAAACCATCAAGGATTTGTACTCCCTCCAAACTAAGGGGATAAATGCAAAGACTTGGTTCTACCACAGTTGGACTCTATTAAGGCTCAATTTCCTCCACATACCAGGCTTATCTCTGATTAGGCTGTCCTGATGAAGCCTCCTTTATTTACGAATCCAGCCTGGCTTCATGAGCCTATCCTTGTTACAGTATCTGAACGTTGGTTTTTGTTTTTCTCTAGTGTTATAATAACATTTGCTAGAAAAAGAAGACACATCTTAAATATTTTCTTTTTCAGGCATGACTGTAAGGAGGAACTACGGAATGCTAACTACATGCCCGGCTCTATGCTAGGCACATTACATCTGTGATTTCACTGATATCTTTTAAGACACCTAATGAGGTAGGTATTATTTCCATTTTCCAGTTGAAGAAACCAGGATACAGGCTGGCTAAGTAATTTTCTTAAGGCCACACAGCAGAGTTTCATGTAAACCCAGGCCAGGATCACAGTTTGTGCCAACTTCACTGTGCTATGCCAATCTCATTGTCTTAGCACAGTTTCGTTTCTCCCATCTTTAAATATTTTTCAGAATTCTACAAGTTTTAGAAAAGTGATAGCTAGTTGATCTGATATGTATTTTGGTTTATTAGTTTACTCTCCTTACATACAACTCACTGGAGGATGCTAAATGTATCCAGCACATTTATGTATTCTTTAATTCTTCCATAGGTGTGCTGTATGACTTTTTATTTTGTTGTAAATGACTTTGCCCAAATGAATAATTTTTAAGACAAAAATACTTTTACCATTTCAGGATTATCCATCATTTGCTTTGCTCTTAGATCAAATAGAATAGAATGTTCTTTAACCACAGTTTCCTCAAAAGTAAAAGGAGATACCACATGCGTGTTCTAGTCCTGTTTCTTTATCAGTAAAGAATATGCCTCCATCTGGTTTTATGACATTTACAAATAATACTTTCCTACTTACTTTTCTGTTTTTAAAATACTAAGTCCTCTGCTGCAAAAGGATAACCAGTTTTTTTGGAAACCCACAGTGGTGTCCACACCGAATCATCAATTAAATCAAATTGGTGGCTATCAGAGAAGCACTTTGATTTAACCTAATGCTAGTTTCTACTTAAATAGTACTTCATCTGGAAAGAAAAGAATTTTGGTTCTCAGATAAGGTCATCTAAAGCACAGTAACTGCACAAGAGGTAACAATAATTTGTAAAATATCATGAAATCTACACATTGAAAAGGCAGAAGCTGTGTTTCAGGCTCACTGGCACCTAGGACTATGGAGAATATTGACATTTGATGTCAGTTAATTTTCAATGAAGGATGTCAGAATTAATAGTGCCTAAAGCGAATGACTATGCAATGCCATACTCTTTTCCCTCTCACAAACATGGTGATGATTCTTTTCCTGATTTCATGCAGGTGGAATGCCACATCCAAAGACATTACAAATTCTTCTTATGTTAGGGAAGGCAAGACACCCCCACCTCCAACAGTTATGCAGCATCAGCAAAAACAGAGTCCAAAACAACTGTGCATCACACTGGGAGCCAGTGAAGGAGAGGGAACGGAGAGCAGGTGTTCGGCTGCCTGGTGAATGGTCCATTTAAAAATTCAACAATAGTCAGAGGGGAGTAGAGAGTACAACAGCCACCACCGTAATTGGTGAAATCAGGATTTCTCAATTCAGTGTAAACTCACACCCTAAAAGAAGGCACACTATAAAGCAGATTTCCATAAACCCAGCGCATCATTTACTCTTAACGATATTATTTTAAAAGCATGCTCTTCAGGCAAAATCGCTGAAAGACCTACTCAAGCAACAAAAACCAGTGCTGCTTCAATGTCAAATCTCCCTATGAGATATTAATCATTAGCTGGAAGAAATAGGCAAAAGCAGTTTTTTACTGCAGAACCAACTAATTATCTTTCATAACTCTTTTGAAAACCAAATGTAAAAGCTCAAGTGAAAAACATGTTAAATGCATTTGTGTCTAGACTTTGCCAAGAAAATAAGGGAGTTTAAGTGCACAAAATCAAAAGATCTTACTAAACTAGAATTTCAAATAAAGGTAAAAAAAATCAGCCACATATTGTTATATATCTTGTCTTCAGCACTTAAATGTATACAATCAGCTGAGGGTGAATGTTGCTGTATATTCAAGATGTACATGCATCCTATTTGGTGAGTAGCACCAACATAGTAAAATTATAAAAATAAAAAATGTTTTCAGGCATTCCTTCCCTTAAAATGGTGCGCATTCCTGTAAACTGTATCATAAACAGACCATTGGAAGGCAGATCAAGCACACAAATATCTTCACTACACCAGCCGAAAACCTTAAAAATGGGTGGGTCTTGGGAACAGAAAATGAAGTATAGGTGATTATTGGGTACCAAGAAACAAGGATGCAGCAGCAGGAAAATATGAGAGGGAAAAATTCAGGGCTGTCTGTACAATATATACAGATTTTTTTCAAATGTAAATTTTAAAATGAATGCTGCTATTATGTTACTGCATAAAGGAAAGCATAGCGAGGCTGTTCTACTTCCCTTTAAACACAAGGCATAAAGAGTAAGAGATGTGAAAAGCCACTTCTTTGTGCTGCTACTTAATCAATCGCACTCAGTTCTACTCAATGACTTAGCCACGCTGCAAAGACCACTCAGCAGTTAATGGATATAATGCTGGAAAAGCACTCTGAGATCTCCCAAAGAAAGGTAGGGTAAAAACCCAGAGGAACATGGTTTTATTACATATTCCTAATAACTGAGCAGCCATATATATGAAACTCCCATGACCTGAAAAGTAATTAAGGTATTAATTTATTTGGCAAATTCTCATTCTTCCATATGAAATCATTTCATTCAAAGACTGAACCCTGAAAGCATAGTAGAGTTATCCTGTGCCCTAGTCTGGTCTTGTCAGGATAACCATTACACACTGTAAGGAATAAATATGTTCTTCAAGTGTTACAGCCTACGCTTACAATCTGTCAAAACGTGGAGCTGAGGAGGAGTTATGTGTTTTTAACTGTATACAGCCATCACTAGCTATCACTCTTCCCACAGACAGGAAAAAGTCCACAATGAAACATAGAAACTAAAAATAGGTGACTGAGCAATTGCTCAGAAGAGCTGCACATTGAGCGCAGGGATTAAATGTACATACATTCTTTCCCTATTTTTTTATTAATGCCAATTTAAAGTAATTGAAATTAAGGGCCCAGACCTATGAATAAGGAAAGTAAACATGCACTGCATAAATATGTAAAATTAAGTCATAAGTAAAATCCCATGCTCATAACCATACAAGATCAGTATTCTGAATGGCACATGCCCAGATTGCAAGTAGTGACTAATATATGTTGCTGCAAATGCCATAAAAAAATGACAGTTATAGGCACTTCAAATGCTCAAAGAAAAACTTAATGTCATTCCACACAAGCTGAAAATATTTCTCCATTCACAGGTGTTATAACATGTTCACTTTGAAGAGTCAATCAAATCAATATTTATTAAGGACTCACTGTGTACAATTTACTATGCTCTAGTGATGGAAAATACTCAGTTTAAAAAGAGCATGGTTTACATGCAGTACATTCAAAATATTCATATATGAGTATATATAATTGAACATAGAAAAAGGATAATCCAAAAGAACACCAGAAGCAGAAAAAATCAATAAATCTATGACTGCAGTAGTCTTGTTTTTTGTTTTCTTATTCTGTAAGAACTTATTGGGTGAGAAAGACAGCATAAAAACCTTGAAAGTCACAAGTTTGAAATCTTACATATTCAAAAGGAGACAAGTTGTCTTAAAACAGTAGTTTCTGAACTCTTTTCTTGCTTCAAAATGATTCATCTAACCAAATCTCATAGAAACCACAAAATATAAGATAAAAGAGGTATTTAATTAATACAAATTTATTTTAAAAGTGCAAGTTTATAATATTTACTCGTTAGGTAAATAGGTTTCTTTGATAAAGAGAAAAATGTGAAATAAGAGTTTATGGATTAGAGTTTGATTCTTTTATGAGGCTCAGCATCTGATTCATATCTATATTTTGGAGTTTTTTGTACCATATTAAGAAAATTCTGATTCATCCACCTAAATGGTTGCAAATAGTAACAATTAACAGCTCCCTTGCAATCTCAGGTTACTCTTCAAGCAAACAGAGACAGCAGAAGAAGCTTCACCCCATACCCTGAACTAAAACTCAATGATCTATTGGCACAAATTAACTCATCAGTGGTCTTAATTGTGGTATAATATTTTCCATACGGACACTTCACTGTGTATGTGTGTTTTTAAAATTACAATATTTAAATCCAAATCAGACCATTGAGAAACCCAAAACTCCCACTCACAATGTCCTAGGGGTTAGTGGAATCTGTTTTTGAAACCCTGAAACCCTTGCCAGGACACTTAGTGTCAGTAGACAGCAACACAGGTAACCAAGGTGGACACAGCACACAAATGCAGGTTAGCAAACCTAGGATTCCAGCAAAGTGTGCCATCTGCAGATCTGCTGGCCTTTGGTTTCCTTCATCTCCTCCCAGTGATCTTGTTCCTCCTCTCCACTGCTGTTCTGGCCCAGGGCAATCCAGCCAATCATCTCTTTACGCTTCATAGTACGCCTGTTATAAACGGAAATCATCAACGTGACATCAGACAGCTGAAAGAGGGCCACCTGGAAAACAAAGGTCTCCTTATAGACAGGATTGGGCTGACCACGCCGAATGGACGTCTTGCAACGGGACATCTCTTGACCCACAGAATTGAGGAGAAAGAGTTTTCCATATGTATCTAAGACAAAAAAAAAAGGGTGGGGTGGGGATGATAAGAAACATTAGTGCTCTCTGTTTGGCTAGACTAGCTGTAACATTTATATGGGCTACAAATTTCTCCTTTCAACATACTGATCAGTATCCTTAAGCCTGGTTCTTGCTGTTGGGCAACACATCTTGCATGAATTATTAAGGAAGGGAATTATTACCTTGAATACCTAATGTTTCATGTGGCTCACTATCCAGCACACATTGCTGATGTTCATTAGTACTTCTACATGCACAGGGTGTATACATTCGTGCACAGGCATACGTGCAATGGTGCTTGTGGGCAGGCACAGTTCTTCATCTACATTTATTTATGTAACAAGATAAATATACACATTTTGCTCTACATGATTTTTTCATAGTCAAATTGCTATTTTATGCCTGAATTGGAGAATTCTTTTCTCACTCTCT
Source organism: Homo sapiens (assembly GCF_000001405.40). Classification (NCBI taxonomy): domain Eukaryota; kingdom Metazoa; phylum Chordata; class Mammalia; order Primates; family Hominidae; genus Homo; species Homo sapiens. The sequence continues at coordinate 62,099,953 of NC_000014.9, read as the reverse complement.
ACATATTCATATGTCTGTGTATGTGTGTGTGCATGTGTGTGTGAGTGAGAGAGAGACAGACAGACAGACAGACAGACACACAAGGTCTTGCTCCGTTGCCCAGGCTGGGGTGCAGTGGCATGATCACAGCTCACTAAAGCCTTGACTTCTGGGCCCAAAGCGATCCTACCCCATCAGCCTCCTGAGTAGCTGGAACCACAGGCATGCACCATCATGCCCAGCTAATTTTTTAACTTTTTGTAGAAATAGGGTCTCCCTATGTTGCCCAGGCATCTACATATCCTTTGGACCATCTCATCCACTCCCATAGTTTCAATGACATCTACCAAGTCCACAGGTCTGGCCTCAACTTCTCTCCCAAACTCGAGATCCAGCTGAATACTACACTTCTTCTCTTGAAATCTTACACTAATCTTACATTCAATATGCCCCCAACTCTAAACATTTGCTGTTCCAGTGTTCCCTATCCCTGTGAATAGCAGCATCATTCACCAAATTATCCAAGTCAGAAATCAGGACCTCATTTTTCACAAGACTGACTTCCTCATTCCCAGTCCACCCAATCAGTTGCCACATTCTGTTGATTCTAACTCTCAAACAGCTCCCAAATCTACCCACTTCTTTCCATCCCCAGTGCCTCTGAACTCTGTGTACACTGCAAGCTCAGGGTGCCAGCATTTCTCACCTTTATTACCTCACGTTTCCTCACTGACCTTCTAGTCAGGGGACTGCCAGAGCAATCTCTGTGAAATACAAATCTGGCCATGTCACTCTCACTAATAAACACAAACAAAGTCTTCAATACTTCCCACTAGTCTCAAGATGAGAGCTCAATTTCTTGGTGTAGACTGTCTTCTTTGGCCCTATCTTCTAGTCTCATTGCTTACCACTGCTGCCATTATACACTGCATTCTACTACATTGAACTTCCTCCCCTCCTCCAACCCAATTTGTTCTTTTTCCCTGTCTCATCTGTACATGTTCCCCATGCTCTGACATCCCCACTAATACTCAGCCTCATATGACTTTTGTTCATTAAGTTCAATCTGGATATCACTTTATCTGGGAATATTTGCTGACCTTTCTGACCTTTTTCTCTCACTCCCACCAGTTCAGATAACCCTCTTATAGTCTCCACTAAAACCTAGTTTTAGCCTGTCTCAGCACTTATCACCAGTATTATCGCTGCCTATTTGTCTGCAAAGATGCAGTTTTCCAGTGGTAAAGAGAGGGATTTCCTTATTAACCATTGAACCCCTGATGCTTAGCTCGTGACTACCATGTGCTAGACCTTCAATAAATATTTTGTAATGAATGTTCATGTCTAGTCAGGAAGCTCAACTTTTTCTTTCAGTCTCAAGTTTTCAAACTTGTGCAATAAAGCTAAACCTCCTCATCGTAGAACCCCTCCACTAGAGTGCCAGAAAACAGTGACTAGCGTCAATATAGAAAGGAAAGAAAGCACTCAAATTTTACTAACATGATCTCCTTTTGCTAAAATTCCTGAATGGAACCATCATAAAATAATTATCTCCTCAATCACATTTTTATTAAAATCAATTTATAAATGTCTTGACCTTTATCTGCAACTTTTACTACTAACATGCACACATTATTCTCCTTAAAACTCAAAATGTTAGGGTGTTTCCCAAATTCAATCATTCTGTACATTCTGTTCAATGCAGGCAGCAAGCTGATTAGTGTTTACTGCTCATTTTCCCACCTAACGACCAGTCAAACTTTTTAAAGCGTAAACGCAGATCTCTGTAATTTACTGTTCTCTCCAAAAGCATTGTAAGATAGGAAACAAATTACAACCTGCAGTTTTCTTTCTATGTTGATCTTTTTCTATTTCAGTTTGATGTGTTATTTTATGCACTTATCTGCTGAGAAACACAAGGTGTGAAATTACACTTCAGGTGTGAAAACACTTCTCTGTCTCAGAAACAGGGCTCTCTTCTCTTCAAACTGTTCTACAGAAAAAGCTGTCAGAAAACCAACAATGAGGGAGTGGATTTGTGTTTCTGAAGCTGCATAGCTACATGATTCCTGTAGAAAAAGTTCAGTCCAGTCACCAAACTGATTGGGCAATTGTGCTGCCAGGTATAGCAGTGGGAATTGAGTTAATCTTGCAAACAAAAGCATGCTCATTTCACAAAGAGAGCAATTTCAAGCTTTATCCTGCCATAAGAGTATTTTCTAATTATGAGAAAGGCCACTTACTACCAAATTACTATCACTGAAGTTGGATTGTATGTGTATAACGCAGAGAAATAATAATAATCTTAAAAGCAATCCAGTCTGAAGACACCAGACAAAAGGAAGGAAAATGTTCATTGTTCTAGTTCAAAACGGAAACATCTATTAACAGTAATAATGCACCTACTTCTTAACTTTCAGAGCAGAGGCTGTGCCCAGGAAATTCTGCTTCTGTGGAATAGTTGGGGAGCATGACCAGGGTCTTTTGGGGTTCCGTGACTTACTCTGATGAACACCAGTCAGACTGAATGGAGAAAGACTCTAGCTAAGTAAATATGCCATTTAAATAAGCTGTGTTTTAATCTTTGGAAACTGGTAATAGTGGCTACAAAACAATGCTGAGCAATATTTTCTTTTCTGGTGGTGATTCAGAAAGCTTTATAGTATCTTTAGTAACTCAGAACCATTAGCAAAACACTGAATGGGTCATAATCCCTTGACAGCCCTGTCAACTGTTTTACTAGTCACTTCCCTTTTTCTTGCTAAAGGAAGACGCCACTTGTACTAAAATATTTATAATAGTACATAATCTCCAAATTATTATGGCACAAAAGTATGTCATTTGGAACTCAGAAGGCATTTTTCCAAAGAAACAACATGGTACCCCGTAGTTAAACAGCCCCCACAAAATACCTACCCATTTACAGCATAATTTTCTACGAATTGCTGAGCTGAGCCTTGGCCTAGGGGTCAGAGGAACTATGAATCTCTGGGATACAGGGTAAGGGAAAGGAATTTGGCCATTTAACTTTCCCTTTTAATTTATTAATATGTATAAACAATTTTAAACATATATGAAAATAAAAAAATCACACAAACTGACAGGATATTTAGAATTTGTCACATGTGCTACTAATGTTTCTGCCTTTTTATTGATTTTTAAGAAATAAAACATTGCAACTGAAGATCCTTTAGTCTCCCTCTTTGGGATCCTGTCCAACTTCTTTTCTCAACAAAGGTAATTACTATGTTGGATTTGGAGTTTATCATTTCCAGTTTATCATTTCCATAGATGTATTTAAACTTTCAATATGTAAATAGAGGTGTCCAAAATATATTTAATAGAATTTTGCACATTAGAAAATTTAACATTGTAGTGTATGTCCTTCTAAAACTTAATTTACCATTAATTTTTTATATTATCTCTATGTATACATGTATGTGATTCATTTATTTTATCTTCTGTGTGTAATGTTCCAATGTATTAATAAATTATAATTCATTTTTTCATTCTGTTAATGAACATTTAATTGCTTATAATTACCAAAAATTAAAAAGATTTCAGTGAACGTTTTTCTCTATTTTGCATTATATCAATATTCAAAAATTTCTCTAGGATATACCTAGAAGTGAATGACTGTGCTCTTTACAAATTCTAGACACAAAATCTTTGCCAGTTGTATTAATTGCTACTACCTTCTACCTGCCTTTCAGCTTCATTTATAGTCAGTTGCAGTACAAATGTTTTAAATTTTTGTGGAGTCAGGTTTATTGGTGTCTTCTTTTAAGTTGATGCTTTTTAAAAGAAACCCTACCCAAACTCAATAGTCTCCCATATTATCTTCTGAATCTTAAGATCTTGTTTTTCACACTTGATCTTTAATACAGCTGTAATTGAGCTTTGCATGTGGTGTGAGGTAGGGATCTAAATTTTGTATATGGGAAGGATTATTCATTAAATAATCCATTATCTCCCCACTAATTTCTAATACCATGTCTGTCAAATATCAAGTTTCCAAGCTTCAGTGTCTTTCCCTAAGTCTGACAATATTTATTATAATCATTTTATAACATGTCTTGATATCTGCTAGGGATAATCCCTCTACCATCTTTTTAAAAGCTATTTTAGTTATTCTACTCTCTTGCTTGGTTTAATTGGCTCTTGCATATGAATTTTAGAATGAGTTTGCCAAGCTCTGTAAAAAACAAAACAAGATAAAAAAACAAACTAAAACAAAAATACTAAGAAACACTTGGGATTCTACTTGGTATTGTACTGGACATATAATGTGGAAAAAAAACTGTTGTTTTTACAATATGGAATATTCTTGCTAATGAACATAGTATATATAGATATGTGTGTGTTTGTGTGTGTGTGTATATAGTTTCTGTTTGTGTCTTTCATAAAGTTCTGTTGTTTTTCTATAATTTTCATATTCATCTTTTATTATTTTTTGGTATCGTAGATATTTTGTTCCTATTATAAATAGTAACATTTTAAAGCTCCACTTTCTGATTGTTGCTGATGTATTATAACACAACTGATTTTATATAAGAAATATTACTTTATAGATTTTCATTTATCTTTAATGTTGATAATAAGATTTTCTACAAATAATGAATGGCAGCTTCATTTCTTCCTTTCAATCTTTAAATGTTTATTTATTTTTCTTATTATACTTAACTGCCTCAAGTTTCCAGTCTAATATTAAACAAAACTACTGGTGGGAATCCTTATTTTGCTCTTGACTATAAAGGGATTTGAGGATTAAGAATTGGTATAGATTTCCTTAAAATATCCACTGTCAAGTTGAGCAAGTTTCTTTCTGTGCCACATTATTAGTTATTGATATTTACTACGATATCCACCATTCTAAGATCTTTCCTGGGTGAAAGATATAAACCCTTAAAATGACATTCCCCTAGTCTCTTATCAGTAAGGTTCCACTAAAGAAAGCTATGGCAAGAGACAGGAAAGTGGAAGGAGAGAGAGCCCCAGTACTCTAGAACCGGTTGCAGGCATGAGTAGGCATTAGAAGATGACAATGGAAAATTTTTGCCCATAGTGATCATTAGATGAGAATGGAAAAATTTTGCCCATATTGATCAAAGATCCCTATAAAAAAATCGCCTGTCCTGTGTGCAAACAGTTCAGAGCCTATTGACATCTCTCCTGTAATGCCTTATACTCCTGAACTTCCTGAAAACAGTCTTCCTGATCTTTACTACCTTGTCTTCCAATGTTTAAATCCCATAATAACTTCTGATCAAACATACCTAGAATATTTGCTATTTTCCTGAAAATATGTGACTGATACAGTAATTACTAACCTGAACTGGAACGTTGCTATCATAAAAATAAAATAAAATAAGATTGGGGATTGGTCTAGAAGTTGGGTATCAGGTAATGAATAAACTAATATCAGAGGATATAACAGCGAAGATCCATAATCCATATTATGAGATGGTAACACTTCCACCTGCTATAACTTAGAATAAAGAACATGTGCCTAATGAGTTTGTTGCTCTAAAAAAAGAAATTGAAAAATGGAATGTTAGAAGTATGTATTCAGTACTACTGGCTGCATTTAGGGGGAAGAGGGGAAAAGTTAAGCTTGGGAAAGAACTGACCAGTATGCAAGAAAAAAGAGAAAATACAGAAATTCAGCCCTGGCTGGAAGAGTTGATTGATTCCGGATCTCTGAAGAAAGAGATTTTAAAAGGCTTTGAGCCACAAAGGCCCAGTAAACTTTCTCAGGTGAATAATGTGACATTTAATTCAGGTCAAATATCAAATTAACAGTGTGGTCTTTACACCAGAATTGAATTATCTGAGCCATGTGACTGAGTTCTGAAAAATGGAATATGAGAAGTGATAAATGTCACCTTCAATCATGGTTATATTCAACCACTCCCACCCAAGCAATAAATCTCCCATGCTGTCTCTTCCCTTTCCATGCCAACAATGGAGGTCACATTTTGAATATCATCACCTCAGTAAACGGGGAGTGCCTGTATGTCTGAGTTACAGCTTAGAGAACAGTCACATAACTACTTTGGACTGTAATGCAAAGGAGAAATAAGCTTTTGCTGTGTGAAGCCCCTGAGTCAGCAGGGTTTAATCATTACATCACAGCCTAGTCTATATTAATACATCTTCTATTACACATCTGCTAAGATTTTTGTCAGTAATGAAGAGTGCATTTTGCCAAAAGCAACTTTTTGCATCTATTGAGATAATCGTAATTTTTTCAAAAATTTTATTTTTTAATCAAAAGCTTCTATTTGCATCTACTGAGATTATCATAAGGCTTTCTCGTAAGCCAGTTAATATGGTAAATTACACTAGCAGATTTTGCTAATATTAAATCATTCTTGCATTCCTGAGCTAAGCCCAATTCATTGGTCATTAATGGCTTCCTTCCTTATATATTATAAAGCTAGGTGGACCCAGTATAAACTGTAGTGTGTTTATAGTATGAGGCAGTGTGAGGAAGAGGGGCAGGCAGGGACTGGGAAAAAGAGAGAGACCTTAATCTAATATCTATCTTTTACATAGCAATTTTTGTCCCTTTATATTTATTATGACTACTGATATATTTTGATTTATATTTACTGTTTGGTTTGTGCTTTCTATTTATCACACATTTTTCTACACTTTAAAAAGTATTTTCTCTGCTTTCTATTGAATTGGTTACATTTGCTTTATTCTCATTTATTCCCTCTATTGGTTTAAAAGATTAAAATTTTAATATGTTCACTTGGTTTAATGTCTAAAATTAATCAAAATCTCTACTCTCTTCTATTTTTAAATCTCTTAATTTTTTAAATAGACTTAATTTTTTAGAACTGTTTTAGTTTCTTAACAAAATTGAGCAGAAGGTACAGAGATTTCCCATAAACTCCCTGCTCCCACATACATACAGCCTGCTAATCTCTTCATTTTAATACTAGTATTTCTTTTCCTTGAAGCAACATCAGTCTAAACATCCAGCTGTCATATTTCTTACTCATAACCTGGTTTTGCAATATCCTCTGATCTCTCTCCAGTGTATTTTTTTCAATTTTAAAAAATTGTGTTAAAATATACACAACAAAATTTACCATTTTAACATATTTAAGTGTACATTTCAGTGGTATTAGATTCATAATGTTGTACAAAATCACCACCATCCATCTCCAAAACTCTTTTCATCTTGTAAAAACTGAAACTCCATATCCATTAAATGATAACTCCCCATTTCCCTCTCCTTCACCCCCTGGCAACCACCATTCTACTGGCTTTTATGATTTTTTTTTCTACTCTAAATACCTCTTATAAGTGGAATCATACAGTGTTTGTCTTTTTGTGACTGGCTTATTTCATTTAACATAATGTCCTCAAGGTTCATCCATACTGCAGCATATGTCAGAATTTTTTTCCTTTTTAAGGTTGAATAGTATTCCTTATATGTATATACCACATTTTGCTCATACATTAATCCCTCAATGGACACTTAGGCTGCTTCCACATTTTAGCTATAGTGAATAATGTTGCTATGAACATGGGTGTACAAATTTCTCAAGACCCTGCTTTCAATTCCTTGGAGTACATACCCACAAATGGATTTGCTGAGTTATATGGTGATTCTATTTTTCATCTTTTCAGGAACTGTCATACTGTTTTCCATAGGAGCTGTACCATTTTACATTCCTACCAGTAATGGACAAGGGCTCCAATTTCTCCACATTCTCATTAACACTTGTTAGTGTGTGTGTGTGTGTGTGTGTGTGTGTGTGTGTGTGTGTGTGTGTGTGTGTGTTATAGTAGCCATCCTAATGGGTATGAGGTGGTATCTCACTGTAGTTTTGATTTGCATTTTCCTGATGATTGATTTTGAGCATTTTTTCATATTTCTATTGGCCATTTATATATCAACTTTGGAGGAATGTCTACTCAAGTCTTTAATCCAGTTTTAAACTCACACTGTTTTGTTGTTGAGTTTTAGGAGTTCTCTATATATTCTGGATATTAGTTTGTTATCAGATATATAATTTGCAAATATTTTCTCCCATTCTATGGGTGGTCTGTTTACTCTATTATCTTTTGATGCACAAAATTTTTGAACTTACATGAAGTCCAGTTGTCTATTTTTAATTTTGTTGCCTATGCATTTGTTGTCATATCCAAGAAATCACTGCCAAATCCAAGGTCATAAAGTTTTTGCCCTATGTTTTCTTCAAAGAGTTTTATAGTTTTAGGTGTTATATTTAGGTCTTTCATCCATTTTGAGTTCATTTTTATATATGGTGTTAGGTAAGGATCCAACCTTCATGCTTTTGCAGGTTGAGATCCACTTTTTCTAGCACCATTGGTTGAATAGACTATCCTTTTCCCTTTGAATGGTCTCGGCAGCCTTGTCAAAAATCATTTGGAGTCACTATCCCATTCCCATATTTATGTAATTTCTGCCTAGAATTTTATTACCATTTTGTGGTAGTACCCGCAATAGTAGTCATTTTTCCTACCGCTCCTGTTTTTGCTTTAGGCAATCCATGCAGGCCTATATTTACTTACATGTTAACCAATTTATTTGTTCATTCTTCCTTCTTGCTTCCCATTACTTCCTTCTAATTTCAATTGCTTTCTTTCTGAATTGCATCATTTAGTTGCTTTTTCCTAATGAAAAACTCTGTCAAACTTTGTGGAAAATATCTTTATTTTTCCTTCACTCAGGGAACAAAATGCTAAGCTGAGTATTTTTCTCCCAATACTTTGATATTCTTTTCCCATTGTCCTCTGGTTTCCATTAATGTTGTTAAAAAGTCTGTCCTCAGTCTTACTGTGATTCCTCTATAGGTAACTGGGTTTTTTAACATCTTTATTGCAATATAATTGACATACCATGTGATATGATTTGACTGTGTCCCCAGCCAAATCTCATCTTGAATTGTGGCTCCCATACTTCCCACATGTTGTGGGAGGGACCCGGTGGGAGGTAACTGAATCATGGGGGTGGGTCTTTCCGTGCTGTTCTCATGATAGTGAATAAATCTCATGAGATCTGATGGTTTTATAAAGAGGAGGTTCCCTGCACAAGTTCTCTCTTGTATGCCACCATGTAAGACATGCCTTTTGCCTTCCTTCATGATTGTGAGGCCTCCCTAGCCACGTGGAACTGTGAGTCCACTAAACCTCTTTTACTTTATAAATTACTCAGTCTTGGGTACGTCTTTATCAGCAGCATAAAAACAGACTAATACACCATAGTAACTATCTTTTCTTTTCTATTGCTTTTAATATTTTTTAACTTTGATATCATCATGAGAATTAGAGTTGATGTAGAAAAAGGAATATCACCTATGCACTCAATAAGTTAGTGCCTCATCTAAATTTTCATATGAAATGGCCATGACTCTGAGCAGACAGTGGCTCTTAATACACTATATTTAACAAAAACTGGACCAGGATTCTAAAAGAAGGTCATATGTCTCATATATGTTCATTTTCACTGAGTCTTTTTTTCCCTGCACTCTGTAGAGCACATTTTCTGAATCCCACTTGTTCTTCACACAAAACATGAGGGAGCTTGATTTGCTTGTTTTTCTTTCCTTTAGTCTCTGCTATTGTGAGTGCCTAACAAGGTTAATATGCTGCTGCTGTTAAGTATTATCATTTGGGGTGTAATTATCATGTGTGGCTAATCATGCACATGCTGAGAAGCTGGGGAACTTGTTTTTAACTGGAGGGAACATCTTAATGATAGTTTTTGACAATGACCATTATATCTGTACATATACACATATAAACACAATGCAGTAATACACTGTAGAAGGAGACATAGCAAAGCTGAAGATGGAGAAAGAGAACCTGTCAACACAATACCTAACTTTTTTGAAACATAGCAGTATATCTGTAACACTAGCTTGTTAACCTCATTTAATAAGGAAAATGTAATTCAGAGAGGTTAAATCAAATGTTGAGGCCATGAAGCAGTTGGATAGCAGGGCTAGGATAAGAACAGAATAGAGCTGCAAAGTTGTTACTGAATTGCTTTCCCGTGAAGCCAAATTCAAAAGATGATCAAATGTTTCTAACTCTTACTGCTAACTTTTCCAAAAGCATTTGTAAATGCACATCAGGATTTCAGATGTCTGCTAGACACTATACACTGCTTTTTCATCTGGACCATTAGCCAGGGACAGACCTGGAGGTTATCATTTGCCATCAGAAGATTTGTAGACTACCCTATACCATCTTAATAGCAACAATAGTTTTGAACACTGACCACGTGTAGTAAATGAGACATCACCTTGAAAATGGCTGGTGTGACATTTGGCATGTTGTTACTTGATTTGCACTAAGATAAGTTCATGCTGCTACCGTACTTATTTATGTTTATAAATAGGTTCTATAGGCTAGTTACAGTAATTTTCAAATAGCCTATTTTATCTTCTTAGCCCACATACATGATTTTTTTTAAAAAATCACAACACTTTATAACATGGGCATTTTCACCAAAAGATGATTGATAGACAGATAGATACATAGAAATGAAGTTCGAAAAGAAGAAATGCCCAGCCAAATACTTTCCCTTGTGATGGATGTGCTTTATGGAGGACACTAGAAAAGATACCCTCAGGTTCAGATGTTCAGTACCCCATTTTTTTTTTTTTTGAGATGGAATCTCACTCTGTGGCCCAGGCTGGAGTGCAGTAGTGCGATCTTGGCACACTGCAACCTCAACCTCCCAGGTTCCAGCAATTCTCCTGCCTCAGCCTCCTAAGTAGCTGGGATTACAGGCACCTGCCACCATGCCTGGCTAATTTTTTGTATTTTTAGTAGGCATGGGGTTTCACCATTTTGACCAGGCTGGTCTCAAACTCCTGACCTCAGGTGATCTGCCCACCTGGGCCCCCCAAAGTGCTGGGATTACAGGCATGAGCCACCAAGCCCAGCCAGTACCCCATCTTTCTGATCCAAGGTTTATCTAGGGAAATAGAGTGACATCTCAATCACTCTAATTAAAAAAAAAAAAAAGTATTGCCAACCACAGAAGTCCCTATGCATGGCTAAGACTCATTTTATTTTTACCAACTTGACCCAGCTTATCTACTTCATACCACACTAGATTGTATTCCCCAGTATATTATACCTAAAATTTAAAATATATAGAATATTTGAAATAATAGTACAGTGGAGGTCCCTATACCCACCACCTTAAGTTTTCGATTGTTTTATTTTTTCTCACATATCTGTGCCTCTATTCATCCATTAATCCATTTTAATTGTAGCCATTGTTGCTCTTCAATGCTAAAAATTTCAGCATGCATTTCATTAGCTAGAGTTTAATATTTTACAGTACTTTTTTAAGGTAAAATTTACCTAAAGTGAAATGTACAAAGCTCAGTGCCATTCACCAACTTCTGACAAATGCATACATCCATTTAACTCACATCCCTATCAATATATAGATAAAAAATTTTAAAGAATAACAAAATACAGAATATTCCCATCATCCCAGAACATTTCCTCATGTCCCTACCAAGTACATCCTAGCACCAATACCATTCCTGACACCACCACTCCTTTGCTTTTTTTCTCCACTATAGAGTAGTTTTGCTTACTGCAGAATTTCTTACCAATGGAATCAAGCAGTAGGTAACTCAGTAAGTTTGTGAGATTCCTCCATGCTGTTGAATGCCTACATTTAATTTTATTACTTTTTATTGCTGAATAGTATTCAATTATATATCTTAATTTGCTTATTCACTCTTCTCTAGATGGGCGTGAGGACTGTCTAGTTTTTGTCGTTATGAATAAAGCTGCTATAAACATTCTTGCATGGGTCTTTTTTTCTTTTTTGACTTACCGGTTACTGCCCAAGAACGTAACTGCTAGATTCTCAGTGCATGTTTAGTTTTATATAAAAAAAAGCTTCTACGCCTTTTCCCAAAGTGGTTGTTCCATTTTACACTCACACCAAGAATGTATTCTCCACATCCTCACCAATACTTGGTGCAAATTTTTCATTTTAGCCATGCTGGGGGCTGTGCAGTGGAGGCTCTGGTTGGAGCCGGCAGAGACTCACATTTCTATTATTGGCCCCACTACCTCCAGCCCATCAGAGAAAGGAGCCCTCTCGCCCAAGGATTTTACCTCAGAAGGGGAGGGGGTTTCTATCTCAGTGGCTTATTTCTTCTAAACCCCAACAGAGGAGAAGAACTTCATCTACTGTTTGTTCAGTTCCTCTGTCTTACTTAGGAGGAAAAGTTTAAAAAATATCCGATTATCTAACCGGGTCAGGTTGGTGAATTCAAAGTTGCCTTTTGTTTTATGATATATTTTGAGGCAAAAAGATTCTCACTTCTAAATCCTAGCCGCTGTCTCTCTTTCCAGCAACATGTAAAACCTTAACAATATTCAAGAGAAGAAAAGTTCCTAACACTCAGGCTCAACCTATTTTCCTTCACACTTCCCTAAGAACCATTCTTTATGTGATCATGACCGCCCCGTCGGGCATGATTGAGGTCACGGAAGAGGTAACTGCACCTGAGCCGAGAGCCTCAACCACAAGCTGTCATGGCCCTCAGTGGTACAAGTTCCCCTGGCCGGCGGCGACCCTGTGGTGGACTCTGCAGCAGGCCCCAGGCTGCCGCCGGCTCTCCCTCTGCCGTGGGGAGCGGTGCACTTGGCATGCGGCCTCCGCCTTTCCCCACTCACAGCTCCATTCCTCTCCTGGCTCCTGTCCTCTCTTCTTCTCCCCCTCTTCCTTCCAACTCTTCTCAGTTACCTCATAAAACTCGTGTCCCCTCATTCTTTCTCTCTCTTGTTCTCTTCCATATGGGAACTAAAAATGTATCCCAAGCTTGCCATGTAACTGTCAAAGTAGTGTGAGTGCCATAATGAAGCGAGACATAATGAAAAACCAAGGCCGTCGACATCCAAAGCCCTTGAAAATCCCAAGAGGTCCATTTCAGAAGCTCCACAAAGGAACCTTCTACTTTCTCATCCCTTCCTAATTAAACTGGCTTTTCCTCAAGTACCAGCATTCTACAGAGACAAAAAACTTTTGTCTTCACTATTGGCTTTCTGTTTTAATTACTAGCATCACGGCAGCATTGTTTTCTATTCCATGGGTTGCAAAGATACAACATGTCAGTTACATTTTAAGTTTTATTGCAACACTATGCCTATGGCAAATCATGTACTAAATGCCAAATAGACTTAAACTTCTGGAATAAAATCCATTTCTAAATTAGGACTTGCCTTTTTTTCCTATTTGGTTTTAAATATTTGTTACAGGAATTTCATCTTTAGCATATTTATGTAGATATTTATCAAGATATAATAGTTCCATCCTCAACATCACAGTTTTGCATGTATTACAGGAATGCAAACTTATAAAGTATACACTATACTGACTCCTTTTTTATAGATGAGGAAACTGAGATTCTGAACAGTTTCATAACACAATTTTTTGTTTGTTTGTTTGTTTGTTGTTGTTTGTTTTTTTGAGACACAGTCTCATTCTGTCACCCAGGCTGGAGTGCAGTGGTGCAATCTTGGCTCACTGCAACCTCCACCTCCTCGGTTCAAGCGATTCTCTGGCCTCAGCCTCCCAAGTAGCTGGGATTACAGGCGTGCACCACCAAGCTCAGCTAATTTTTATTATTTTCTGTAGAGCTGGGGTTTCTCCATGTTGGCCAGGCTGGTCTCAAACCCCTGGCCTGAGGTGATCCATTCACCTCGGCCTCCCAAAGCGCTGGGATTACAGGCATTGAGCCACCGTGCCTAGCCAGTAACTCACAACTATTATAATAAGTGGCAGAGCCTGAATTCACACCTTGGTTTGTTGGCCTCCAGCTGGTACTTTCTCAAGCACGATGATGTACCTCTCCTCTGGATTGCCCGGTACCACCCAATATACCAAATAAAGCTTCCCAGCATGGACTTGAATAGGCCATGATTGTGTGATCCACAACCCCATCATTCTCTGCATCTCTACCCTGTTCCTAAAAAATTGTTCAGACTTTACCTGATCTCAGAAGGACAGCAAAAGAGGTTAGCAAAAGTTCAGAAGGCAAAGTAGTAAATCCAGACAGATCTCTAGTAAATTCAGAGCTATTCTGGAAAACAAATTGGTATCTAGCAAAAAGAGTCTAGCTATGCAATTAATAATAAGCATCTATTATGCATTCTAAATAGCCCTCATGTGGCTCTGAGTGTCGACATAGAATATGGCTGATAAACCCAGTCTATTCTGTTATCCAAAGTGCTGGGGCATTCCTTACTAATTTGCCCTCCTAATGGTTTTCATACAAGTTGACTAACAAGATACCCCCATTCCACAGATCCTTTGTGGGCTGCAGCATAGTTAAGGGCAAAAAAAGAGTGAGAGCCCAGATTCAGTTGTAGGAGATGACTCTTTTCCAGTGGTGCTCCTAGTTCTTCACCTGCTGCTGATACCTGAGGCCTGAGCCCACTGACTCTTTCAGCCTGCCACAAATATACTGATTTCATCCTTCTTTCAATAACAGTTTGGTGCCCATGGTGGGCAGGCTCCCTAGCCCTCTACTCTACTCCCTTCTAGTTTACCTTCCTGACTCAAAAGACTAGAAATTCAACAACATTTTCAGACTCTCTTGCAGCTAGCATTCCAGATCCAAATTAAGTCCTCCAATTAGGTGTATTTGCATGAGGTCCAGAAGGCAGAAGCAAAAAAGAAATCATCTTCCTGCCCCCCTTTCAAGCTTTTTTGCTGCAAAACAAGATCATAAAAAGGTAAGCTAACTTTTTAACAGCATGCTTCTAATGTTCAATCTCTAACTTCCTAGGTGGTGAGAGGCTGTTGAGGCAACTGAAAACAGCAGCTTTTTGAGTCTGGCTTTCTGAACCTTGGACTGCAGCTCTGGGGATATACCTTGAACCCCTCTTTCCAGTGACAATCTCAAAAGTGGCAGTTCCCCTAGAAAGCCAGTCCTGCATTGCCCCAGATCTGCCTCCTTTACTTCCTTTCTCTGTCACCACCACAACCATTAACATTTCTTGTGCATTCACTATGTGATAGGCATGGTACTAAATGCTTTAAATAAATCATTTCATTTAAACTCCAAAACAACTCCATCAGGAAGGTACTATTAATATCTTTTTTTGTCAGATGAGTTAGCTGTGTTCTGAAAAGGGATAAATTGCACAGGATCAGATCAAAGCTAGTGGTTAAGTGGTAGGTAAAGCTGGAATTCAATCCCAGATCTGCCTTACTCCAAAGCCAGAGCTCTTTTTCTTTAAAGTTGAGGGCCTAGGACGTATTAGCAGATTTTAATTGCCCATACACATTATGTTGCTGAAAATGCTGTTCATTCTTTTCCTTTAAACAATATAGACACACAGGCCAGTCTATTTCATGTCCAGAAACATCTAGATAGCAAAGAAGTCTAATTAAATAGAGAGCCATTTAAAAAATACAGAGGTATCTCTTTGTGAAAGCTTGCTTAAGCCATAATAAGATCATTTTTATGGTAAAAATTAAAGAACTAAGATGAAAGCAGACAGGGCTTTCCACTTGCCTCTGGAAGAACCAGAGCTGGGAGAACAGACTCACACTTACCAGGTGCTCGGTTAACAGCGAGGTTTCGGAAATGGCTGCCTTTGATCATTTCCACAGATAATCGCCCCGTTGTGGCATTGTACGAGAGCCCCACCAACAGCTCTGGCGCCCCTCCATGAGACAGCGACTGCGTGGATGAAGTACTATCACTGTGAGAAACCGCAGATGGGCTGAGCGGAGACCCTCCACTCTGGAGGGGAAGAACAACAAAGAATCCATTGGCCCACGCTGCACTACTCTCTTTTAGAGAAAGCCGATATTATGTTTGGTGAAATTGTGACCCAATCCCCAATGACTGCCAAAGATGACTAAGGGCGCACTCGGCGTGAATTACAATGGGCCCAGGGAGCACAGTCACGGATGAGATCCCTGCATTAGGAACTGACATATTTGTTTCAAGAGCTGTCTCCATTCAATATTTCCTCTCTAAAGGCAAAACGGACAAAGACGTTATTACTAGTGTAAATCAAACCCTCTAAGATACAAGGAGAGTTAATAATACATTCAATATAGACTCAAATTCCCCCCTGTGTAATCTGTGCTTGGATGTTTCTAAGGAACCCCTCCACTCCAGGCCTGAGGTTTGTTTCTGTTCTCTGCAGCTCCTTGATGAATATGGCAATACAGGAGGCGTTGTGTCTTAACTATAAAAGAAATGACCACTGGACGTCTACCCCCACATAGAACATTTGGCTCCTAGTTCTGCTTAAGGTTGTTAAATATATGCCAGGTGCCAAATTTTGCCTTTTAAAGAAATAACTTACATTACAAATGAGCACGTTTACAACTGTTTGAGAAAAAAGACAACACATGGGTTGTGGGTCTCAGCGACCTGGCAGGCACCAAGTGAGCCCAGGAGAACCTGAGCTTTCTGTCATGTTTATTCATGGGCACGCTTCTCCTGAGCACCTACACTTCCCCACCAGGCACGGGCACATCGGGAGGAGGAGCACAAAACTGAGAAGGACACTGATTGTCCCTCAAGGCACGGGAGTAGGAATCGACCCTGTGGGGGCAGGCAATCCTGTCCCCCTGAAACACCATCTCCTCCACCAGAAACAAGGGCATTAGACTTGACTTAAACCTTTCTTCTCAATGTTTGAAATCATTTCTTCAAATTTCTGACCAGAAACTCAATAATTAGAACCAATAAAAGGAATCAAATATTCTGCCCATCTGCAGGAAAGTATCCTGTTTACCAAACCACAGACATTTCTGCAGAGCGCCCCCCACCTAACCTGAGGCTGTATGGAACATAGTTTGTAAACGGCAGGGCTAGGTGGTCGTGATAGATGTCTTACAGACCCTGCTGTCTAGAAGATAAAAATTCAACAATGAAATATTTGCTTACTCTTAAGTGAGACTCACTCCCCCTCCTGTGCTCCTATAAAAGCTTCCCGCTGTGGCACCTGTCACTCACTGCTTGCCTCTCCCATCAAATTCTGAATCCGTATAAATCTCTCAGTCCCTGGTGCATAGCCTAATGTCTGGCACATAACTGTGCTCAACAAATAACTGGTGAATGAAAGACTTCCACCTGCAAAGTTCTTTTACACTAGCTCATTTTCCCCATTCAACTCCGTGCCACCAGCACACAGCATAGGGCCTAGCAAGCATAAATATGGGTGTGATCATCCCCATTCCCAAGCTCTATCACGCAGGATCCCTTCTGATCTCCACTGCATTCTGTTTTCCATCATTTCCGATGTGCTTTACTCAGATATTAAGAAAAAAGGGAGATCTGAGCAGAGCTGAGACATCATCTGGCTTATAACTTTAAAAAGCTCATTCTGGCTCCCATGTCCAGAAGAGTCTGTAGAGGCAAAGGCAGAAGTGGAAAGACCACCGCTGAGCAGCTATTTCAGTAATCCAGCAGAGAGCCAGGTTCTGGTTGTACCTGAAGATAGAGCCAATAGGATTTCAGGTGGAAAACAGAAAAGTCACAGATGACTTCTGAGATTTTTGACCCCAGCAATTGGAAGAATGCAACTGCCTTTAAGCAACATGGAGAAGACTGCAGGGGGAATAGATTTAGGGAGGCAAAAATCAGGATTTCAGGCCTGAAGACGTTAATTTTGAGACATCATTGGACATTTAAGCAGACAGATCTGCCACCACTACAGTCCAGACTTTCTGTCTCCTTTGTTCTTCCTCAGATATGACAAGCTTCCCCACTCCCCCGGCCACCCCACATCCTGACTGCTTGCATGTGCTGTTCACTCTGTCTGGAACTCTCATCCTCCTCACAGCACCAGCCTCGCTCTCTCGATGCTTTGAGTTCCGGCGTTTTATCACCACCTCAAAGAAACTTTCTCTGATCCTCTAAACAAGCGGCAGCCTATCACTCTGTCTCCTTGCCTACTTGGCCACCACTAGACTGCAAGCTCTCCAAGGGCAGAGGCATCGCCTGCTTAGTTCTTTCCTGCATCCACTTTGCCTATACCATAATTGACAGTAAACATCTCTGAATGAATGACTGATTGAATCCAGAGCCTACAGAGCTCCCTGATCTGTTAACGTGGTTTTGTAAAAGGAGATGGGCATACTACATGACATATAACCCACAGCAGTAGTGAGCTGCCCATCCTGTAGGCATGTAAATTATGACACCTTTCCTTGAAACCCTGTGGCAAGCAGGGAAATGGGGTATGAGGGAAGACGGTAGTAACACAAATGAAAGGTTTCAGAAGCAGCTGAAGTTCTGGGCTGCTCTCTCAGTCTGCCCCAGCATACCCGTTAAGAACCTTGCCCAGAAAGTCCCATCTCTGAGATTCATCATGATGCAGATTGGGGGCAGGAGGAGTAGGATCAGTTATCCACAATCCAGAGGGCCAAGCCACCTTCCCTGTTTTTCTCCATGCCCTCTACCACACTGCTGCTATTTTGTCCTAAAATGGACAGGGCATTTATCCATCAGGTTATCAGGAAGACAGGCATGAAAGACCCATTGTACCATGAAGTGCAAATCATGGCTTACAAGGGTGAGGAGAGCCAAATGGAAAATTAAATTAAAGTCTCTGAATTCACAGACTGAACGTACTAAATCAAGGGCTGACAATCCCAGGTCTTCGAACACACCACATCATTAGCAGCACCATTTAACATACTCACGCTTATATTACTTCTTGGCTCCAGAACCAGAGTCACTTTCATTTCCCCTTCTGGGTGCAGGTGGCTGAGATAGAATAGTTTCTCTCCCATCATTCTCTCTCGGGTCATCTTCCGGGCAGCGTACAGGCGGAAGCGGACAGCACAGGCAGCCACATCTCTGGGCTCCAGCTTGGCAAAGGTGACCTTCTCCCTGAAGACGGGGTTGGGCCCTCTCTGTATGTTCGTCCTGCCCCTGTGTTTCTTACCAGGCAGCAGCACTACATGAACTTGCCAGGAGTTGACACCACTTCGGTCCTTATCTGGGAGGCCCTGTGCCCTCACAATGGTCACTGTGAGCTTCTGGCTGGCGGCTCTATATTCAAAGATGACATCTAGGTCACCACACTTTGAGATGGGCTCTGAGACCCCGGATGGCACCTGCAAATTGGTCCTGTCCTGTTCCTGTTGCAGGCAGAGGAAACAATTAGAAATGGAAATGATGATACCCAATTACATTTTGGCCAGTTGGTGCCCCTTTGTGCTCCTTCAGAATCCCTGCTTTCTAACTGCCAGTGTATTCCCTCTATATCAGATAGGTCTGTTTACTGGTCTATCGCTGCATTAAACTGTGAATTCTTTGACGGCAAAGTGCCTAGCATATGGTGCGCCTTCGTGAATGTTTTTGGAATGGATAACTAAAGCTTTTATATTTTTGCAAAGTGTTTTCATATATACTGCCTCTCAAAAAGCACAATTGCCCAGGATCATTGAAACCAACTGAGATGCTAAATCTAAAATTAAGTCAACAGGCAATTGTCCATAGGCAACTTTTCCTTGTGTCCCTAAATACAGATGGTTGAGCCTGAGCCTGTTCTCCACAGGCAAGAGCTTTCTACAGACAAGAATTTTGATGGGAGTCCCAGGAAGGTGATGCTTCAGTATATTTTCAATCTAAGTGGGAGAAAAGGTTTAGGGCTGAGCTTCTCAAACTTTAATGTAGACCTAAATCATCTGAGGATTCTGATTCAGTAGGTCTGGAGTGGAGCTTGAGATCCTGCCATTTCTGGGACAGGCACAAGGGATGTTGACGCTGCTAGCCTCGGCTCACACTTTGAGCAGCAAGGATTTAGGAGGACACCTCCACAGCCCTTTAGTAAACAGCAACACTGAGCCTGGAGCCAGAACACCTAAATTGAAATCATAACTCTACCACTGACTAGCTTTTTTACCCTGGCCAAATAGACCAGCCTCTCGGTAGTCTAGCTTAAAAATGCACATTAATGTGCCTACTTGCTGGTGTGTTGTTGTGAGGTTTTCATTGATATGAAAATACCTGGCTTAGACCAGACTGCATAAATATCTATTCCCACCACTGGACTGGTGCTACCTATTCTCAAACACACATCCCTCTTTATGGAATGTCACCCTTGGGTAGCAATTTACATGCAGCCACTCAGATCTGATGACCTTACTGGGAAAACTGAGCTAGGCTGCATTTATTATAATGAACCACCCCACTAACAAATTATAAATAATGTCAATAATAATTCTATTTTCCTCTGAAGGCATGATCCTTACCTGTAACTAAACTTTGATCTGATTCTTATTGCAAACCAGTTCTTATTTATGCAATTGAACACCAGAACTTGCTAATTTAGAGATCTCGTTTCAAATTATAATACAATGCCTCAAAATGTGCATCCATCAATGAAACTTTCCCACATAGTCTGGGTGAAAGTTCATGGTTCTCTGGGTTCGTATTTCCTTAGGAAGCCCAGGCCTACCACTTACTAGCTCTATGACACTGGGCAAGTCATTTAATCCTTTCCATGTTCTATTTTCCTCAACTGTAAAATGGAGATGGTACCTTCTGTGTAGGGATGTTGTAAAAAGTAGAGGACTTGACAGACAGTAGACATCTAATAAATATCCTTTTCTTTTAAGATTCAAATTAGCCTGCAAGAAAATTTAGATTTCTTGTAAAATAAGTGAAGCTTCTTATATCCTTTCCTGTGAGCATGCAATCATGCGTGAGTGTTTCTATTCAGAGGTACTTAGTTTCAAGTGATAAAAGTGGTTGCTATAGAGACTTTTGAATACAACTGACTAGTGTATATATATTAGAAGCAAGTCTCCAAGGATTTAGGCCAACTCAAAAATCAAGTCAGAATCTTCTCTCAAACTCCCTTGTCTCTTCCTAAAACTCCCATCTATTTTAGCCTACTCTTGATCATCTCTGTATTGCATTTCTGACCATAAGTAATAATAGCTAACATCTACTAAACTATTTCTTATGCCAAATACCATATCAAATCCTTTACAGACTATAAAAATTGGCTCTTAAACACTTCAGATCTTCTTGGCCTTAACTCATGTTCCATCTTCCCCTAAGGCACAGCCTATATGGGCTCTAAGTAGTTTCAGCCTGGAACTACTCAATAAAGTCTTACCTTCTACCCACACAATATAATTCTCATTTCTTATCATTGGTCTCTCTGTCGACCGCCAAGGCTTAGACAGCTGCAGAACCCTGCTTGACACCAATATATGTGAAGTCTACTTTTTGCCCCGTAGTCAGTTGTCCTATCAGTTCATACAGCTTCTTGGAGTGTGATCACACAAGATCAGGCAATTAGCCATACTGAGTGGTGGCCAATTCAACTGTGTATTCTCACACTTGACCTCCCTTCTTCCCTGCCTTACTTCCCTTGTCTCGCACTTTTGTTCCCTGGGGTTGCACTCCCAAAGCAGGGAACAAAGCCTTTACGTAGGCTCTGCTTTTTTGAGGAACCCAACTAAGAAACATTATCTTTTTGAATATTTACATCAATGCAATGAGGTAGGTATTTTAATATCTTCATTTTATGGAGGACGAAACTCAAGCTTAGAAAGACTAAATAACTAACACGCTCTCTCCCCCCAAGCCCAGATCAAATTCCCAGACAAGATTATCCAGGACTCATGCCCTGGCAGTTTGAGTCCCAGGCCTGCCTTAACTCGTATCCAATACTCAAAATTTCAAACCTTATTTTGAAACATACAGTCTCCTTTCTTCTTCCCCAAACCTTTAGGCATAACTATTTCTACATATAGACATATGTGTGTGTGTGTGTGTGTGTGTGTTTATATATATATATATAGAGAGAGAGAGAGAGAGCGAGAGAGCACTAGAGAGAGAGAGAGAGAGAGCAAGCGCACAAGATGAAGGGGGAGAAGACGGAAGGTGGGGGTTGGAATCACACTCTCTGTGGTTTTCACATCCTTTGAGGCCCCTGCTCTTAATGTTAGTTAATAGCTCTTAGTTTTGTCAACTTCAATGCCAAGGTAAAAATATTTTAGTGAATGAGGAGCTCTCTCCACTTATGTATCAGGCTGTCTCTTCGGATAAATGCTCACTCCACCTGCAGGTTTCTAAGAGAGTCCTGGGTAGAGCTCCTGACTGTCCTAAGAACTCCTCTGAATAAACAGATCCTGCCAATGGCTGGGCTTTGGATAGGCCAATTCAAGCTGTGGCCCATGAAAACTGGGCTTTGTAGCCCCTCCCTGGGTTGATTTGAGAAAAAGATTTGTGAATGCTGGTATTTTCATAGCAATTAATTATTTCAACACACTTTACCTCTCACCAGGCAACTGAAGGAGCTCCTCACTTGGGTACTGTTAATACCACTAATCCATCTGACCTTCCTGCAAGGTAAAAATCTCTTCATTCTTATCCCCATTTGGCAGATTTTAATTAACTTCTCAAGGCCAACCAATTAATCAGTGGAAAGCAGAGATGAAAAGTGGGACACCTGTCTCCCTGTGTGCTCAAAATCACCAGCCACACTCCCATTGTCTTTCCTGCCAAGCCCTGGGTCTGCAGGAAAAAGCCAAAGGCCTTCGCCAGCAGAGAAGAGCAGAGCTCGAAAATCCATCAGCCTAACAGGTAGTCACACTGCACGACCAGTTTCCTGCTGAGACAAAATAAATGATTCCTTGAGCTCCAATATCCTGGGCTTTTCCTTAAGATGAGAATACTTGTGTCAAATTGTCAAAACCCAGGTAGGTTTAAAGATTTTCTGTCAAATTGAAAGCCTTTCTGTTTTAGTAAGATAGTGTTGATGTCATCTGTGTGGCCTAAAGTAAACAGGCCTACAATATGTTCCTGATGCCAGATACACAGGGGAAGACAGAGTTCTCAATACAGCTAAGAGGCAAATAAATCATTTCTTAAAAGGCAAGCTAAGCCTGCAAAGCAGGCAGTTACGGGAACTGCCTCCGAGTTGGATTTGAGGTTCTACTGTAGGAGCACCAAATTACAGTTTTTTCTCAAAATAGATAGGAGGTTGAATGGAGCACACAGAGATGTCTGGGTATTTTTGGAGTCTGAGAACATTTAGTACCCTCAATACCGAGTCTTCTATTAAAGCTCCAGCAGGCAGGTAAATGGGAGGTGACCTGGAGAAGTCACTTCCAAGCCTCATGGCACAATCACCAAGGAGACAGAGTATCAATAGGCAGGCAAATCATTTGGTCTGTTTTGTTTTTGGGAGAGAGATTCAAAATATTTTTTAAGAGTTAGTGTGTGGGATTTGATACGGCTTGGTAGTAAACTAACGGGTAAGCAGAGTTTTTTCTTTTTTTAAACAAAATGTATAAAGTTAATGGCTTTGGGTGCCTCCATATGAAGGGCTGCTTTTTAACAAGCCACAAACCACATATGTGAGCTACCATTTCTGGTCCTCAGCAGAGACATCTACACAGGGGCACAGATGTGTATGCATACCCCTCCTTAGATACTACCTACACACGCCAACATGTTAGCAGTTAAGGCTTGGAAACAGGGTTTTCTGTGATTCCTTTTTTTTTTTTTACCTTGAGCATTTAGCGTGTGTGACACTCCAAGTCCTAATAAGAGATGCATCCTGTTTATTTTCTCAAATGGATGCTAATAAAATCCATTCACCTCTCTCCTTCTTCCCCCATCCCTGCAAATTATATTAAAGGTTTATATATGTATATGACTTATTTCATCAAAATTAATTTCAAATTAGGTATTAAACACCATTCCTTAATGCCTTCCAATGTCACAGAATCATGATAGGAGGGATCTATCTAATGGAAAAATAACCGTAAGGGCCAGTAAAAGGAAACAATTTGGTAAAATCCTTATCACAGTGCCTGGCATATATTAACTGCTCAATAAATGGTAGCTACTACCATCATCACCTCCAGCCATATCTCTGGATTGATTGTTACATTTATTCTGGACTAAGCTTTACTTGAAAAAGAACTTTGGAAGAAGTATCTTTTATCAGAGATTTACTACAAAACCAATGTCAATGGCCAGAGGGGCATTACTGATTAATGCTGTCTCCTAGGCACAAAATATATTTTGTATATATTCACAGTGCAAGATCTGCATCATTACACCTTGTATAATTTCACTTGGAAGGCCATTTCATTTTAGTTCAATTTTCAAATAATTTTCATATCAAATAATCGTAACTTGAGATTTGGGCTAAATAAAAATAGACTCCACTTAATTGAAACCATGAAGTAAATAAACCAGTCCCTCTAAAGAACTGAAAATTCCATTATTTAAAATTAAGTCTATAAAAAGCCTTTATATAAAAGAAAAGCCTGGCTGTTCCTGGATCCATTCTGCCACCATTCTTATTTTTTTTTCTTTTTTTCTTTTTTTTTTTTTTTACCGTTCATCCTTTTTTTTCCATTTTGAGAGAAATTTATGACTCTTTTATTGACATGCATGGGATTTTGGTCATCTGGACAAAAATTTATTGCAGATAAAAGTAATGCTTCCTTTCTGGAATTTTTTTTTTTTTTTAGAGAGATGAGAAAGGAGAGTGGAAAGAGGGGAAGGGGAAAGGGAACCAATGAAAGAATGAAAAACAAATAACTTGCCTCTGGACTCCACATGGAGGAGCTGTCAGTGGCATAGGAATCTTCAAATCCCCGGCTATTAAAAGCTGTCTCCATCTCCAAGCTGCCCTCTGTGGATTGGCGCCTGAGGCTTTGGACCACACTGGACTCTTGGTGAGATGTGCCGTGGTGTTTGGCATCCCCTCTTTCACATGGGGACTGTGAGTGAGCAGGGATGTGGTCATCTTCACCGTAGGAGAGATTCTCAGAATAACGCCGTTGGCTGGCTCCATCCAAATCTAAATTTGCAATAAGAAAACCATTTCAAATGCATTATTTTTAACACCTTTTTACCTAGAGAAATTGAGTAATTGCAGTCACAACAATCAAGATTGCAGAAACAGAACCCATACCAATAATACCTGCAGAAACATAATTCTATCCATACAGTGAAGAAACTTGATCCATAAAATGAAAAAGAACATTATCTCATTATGTGGCGTATCAGAAGGCTTAATACTTTTTAAATATGAGTGTAGAGAATATATATTTATGTCAAAAGGATAAAATCGACACAGCATTTTGCTGGAGCTAATGACCACAAGACTTCTGCAATGGATCTAAAAGCAAAAAGAGTCATCTAATATGGAGATCGTATGGTCTCCCGACTCTACCATGCTTCCTTTCCTCTTCAGTGTTTACCACATTACCCTCTGCTCAAAAAGCTTTGGTGATCCTACCAAGTAAAAAGTTCTCTCCTTGATCCATGGTCTTGGATTGGTATGATCCGAGTTTAAATCCTGTCTCTGCCATAAGAACCCGGACAATATTCAAATTCTCTGAATCTTTGCTTCTTTATCTAAAAAATGATAAAAGCCATCAGAGGGTCACTGTGGACACATGAAATAATATTCACCTGGCAGCCAGCAAGGCCTTCCGTAAATATTAGGCTTGCTTACCTGCCTGGCCTGAACTGGCCTCATCCAACCCATCCAACCCCATTTTCCACTGCTTCCCAAGTGACCATGTCTCATTCCTCTGGTCTCACTGGTTTATGAAAATACTAGCTGTGTATTTCTGCTCACAGTGCCCCTCAAACCCTCCCTGTGTCCTGTCCTCCCTCCCCATACAAAGCACCACCAACTCCTGAGACTTCCCTGACTCCTTCAGTCTCCACACTTTTCTCTCTCAGCACCCCTCACCTCCATTCATCCCTTTCGTCTTCCTACATGTCAAGAGTGTCCTCAGATGGTCAGGAAAAGCTGGCAGGGTCTTCCTAAGAAATAGCTGCCCCCACTATTTGCCTCCCACACCCAAAGAGAAATTGAGGATCTCTTATCTCTTTGGCCTCTTTTCTCCTCCAGCAGACCCCATCCCAGGATGAAAGAAAACTAGAGATGTAGACAGGACAAGGGCGTGGGTTGGCAAAGTCTATGTCATAAAGCTCTTCTATATACATTGTATGGTAGCAATTGTTTTCCCTTGTTAGTCTGATACCTCAGCTATTAATAGAATGTAAGCTTCTGGATGGTACTAAGCCACATATATCTACTGCATAGTCTTTATCTGCCAATGCGTTATCACTTACCCTTCAGAGAACTTTAAAGTCTAGGTAGGTAGCAAATATTGAAAGCAGCCAGGTATGCAGCAATATGAGTGGTGGTGACAGGGGTTCACCAGAGTACATGACCCATGTATAGTAAGCATTCAAATTTTAAAAATATGTTATCAACCAGACCATACAAAAACATCTTCAGGCAGATCCTCGGGGCAGAACTTCAGACTCCTAATATGGGGTTTTGTAAAATCACAGCAGGCCATTGAGAAAGTTCCCTATCTTCCTCGTTATCCTTCATTATTCAGTTCAGACCCCTTGGAAACACTTTTATGGGACATTACAAAATTTTTACATCCAGACTTTCGGTTATTTGGCAAACATCCTAAAAACAGGCCACACAAAATGACAGAACAAGGAAAAATCCACATGCAAAAACCTACAACATAAAGCAGGATTTTCTTCTAAGTCTCTAATTAGCACACCCATTCCTCACATATGCGAACAGGAAAATGTCCTATTAAACAGTGGGTCATCCATCAACATGTGTAGAACCCAGCAGGATTTCAGCACAAAATTTTACTTTGCCAAGAAATTATCCCCATAAAATTGTCTCATGACTTTAACTCCTACGGTGATAATACCAAGATCAGTAATAAGAGAATTTTCAAAAGCTACATTAAGCCTTGAAAAGTTATTCATAACTGAAAAACATAAGAATGATATTAATGTAACAAACCATTTTCCATGACAGACAAGCAAGGAATGAATTAGAGAAGCAAATCTGGGGTACAAGTCAAGTTGCGAGGAGGAGGAAAGGGAAAGGTGATTCACCTTTCCATAAAGCAGTCTTCCCGTGCCTTTAAATTAAAGAAGATCATGACACCTTCAATAGACGCACAAAAGTAATTGCCTGTTGTCAGAGAAACGTATCCTGGCTTCTTAGAAATTATAGGCCATAACTATGTCACATCAACCAAATTTATTTTAACAGAGAAATTCTTCCACTTGCTTAGTTCATATCCCACTTTGATGGAATAAAACCCCATTATTCAAATACTTTTTTCATACTCCCAAACCTCTCTCCCCGATCACCACCCAAATACAAAGACTTCTGCTTACCATCTGTGATGGCAAGTTTTATGCGTCAACTTGGCTAGACTATAGGTGCCAATTACTCAATCAAACACTAAATCTAGGTATTGCTGCGAAGGTATTTTATAGATGTGATTAAAGCCTATAATCAGTTGACTTTAAGCAAAGGAGATTATCCTACATAAGCAGTCAGCTGAAAGACCTTAAGAGAACTGAAGTTCCCGGGAGAAGAAATTCAACCTAAGAACTACAGCTTCAGCTCATGCCTAGAGTTTCCCCCTACCTTTCCCAACAACCTGTACCGCAAATATGGGGGCTGTGTATTTCTGTTACCTAGCCAGCCACCACCTTCCCAATTCTTTGCAATGAATCTCTTGGGGTACACACACACACACACACCCCTGCATGTGCAGGTGTTTGCATGTACATGTACATTTTGTATGTACATATATGCATGTAATCCTGCTGATTCTAGTTCTCCAATTGAACCATGGCAGATATACCATCTCAAACAAAACTAAGTACACATTCTGGAGACAATTGAGCTGGTTTTGAGGACACCAGAGTAATAACATCTAGCTTGTAGGAAATATCCTCAGAATAACTATTCCATACACAAAAATAAGGTTACTGCTAGAAAAAAAGAAAAAGCCCCAGGAAATGGACTATTATTCTACAGCTAACCTTTCACGTCTAAAGACCTTGCATACAGGCCTCCAATCCAGACCACTTAGACCAAAAACCCTCTTTAACGTTATCAGGAATGCATTGACAATTAGTGTGCAATAATCCTAAATCAGATACACAGGACAAAAGAGAACTTGCCTGGAACATGGTTCTAAATAGCCTCACCACAGAATCTAGAATGAAGGATTTCACTTAAGATGAAATATGAGACAACCTACCAATAGCTCACTCATGTTTCAGATTTTACTTAGATTTGGCCCTTTAATTTCACTGTCCAGCACTTTTGAATGCATTTTTAAAGTGGAAGAACTGTTTCTACAACTAAATTTGATCTTACAAAACAATGTTTACAGTGGAATAAAACAGCTAAATAGAGAATAGGCATACCAAAAAATTCCTCTCTGGAGTGCATGCTTAATCTTTTCATGATTCTTTACCACTGAAAAAAATCCACTGATATAAAGATGAACAAAAAAAATCAAGCAATAAAAACCATGTTAACATTTCCATGGCGTCTGGTAACCTAAAGTTTGGCATGTGGCTATTTCTGTGAAAATCCTGCTGATTTTCTTCAAAATCTACAGGTACTTCATTCAATGTAGTAGATTTTTTTCCTCTTTAACCTTTTCTATCACCATCTGTCTAAAATTCAGAATTGCCAGTTAGGACAAGAGATAATTTGTTGCTCGTTCCAGGAAGGATAAGGGTTAGAATGGTTGTCAGAACTCTCAGAACATCAGCCATTTGTGTAAATCAGAAGCCAGACACTTGGGCTTTTGGGAAATGGGGCCATTAGCTTTAGGATTAAACAAGCTGTTCTCAGGGAATCAACTGCTATTAACTTTCATTAGCTAACATTTGCCCTCTCAATGGAGAGAAAGGAATGCTGTGATGTAACATCAGAGAAAGAGAAAAGCCAAGAGAGGGGGTGTGGGCAAATGACTCTGTCAGCGGCCACTGATGTTGTGGTTTGGTTATATAGGGCCTTTACTTATTAATTTGAGCTAAAAAGAATGGCAATAAAATACATGATGTTGGCTTATGTCAATAAGTCAGACTACATGATGGATAGCAAGTTATTCCTGCTGAAAATTAGGGGTCTTTTTGTTAATTCCACCTCTTTAATCCTTTATTCTGTCTGCTTGTCCTGTGCTCATCCTGAAATCAAAATTTCTCCCGTTTTATCTTCTCTCAATTTCTGCACCCTCCTTTTTATCTGTCTGGGTTTGAAAATATGGAACATCTACAGCTATGCCCTCATTTGACTGACCACCTTCCCAAAAGGAAAGAAGGAAAGGTTAGAGAGCTCAGGTAACTGAGACCAGGTCATGAAGGTGGGTGGCATAGCATTTTCTCTTGCTTTTTTACCAAATACACTTCACAGACCCTTCCCTGTTACAATGGCTTTGTCTATTCAGGGCTCTGGGCATGAAGGAGTCAGATAGATACCTTGACCTTTGCTTGGGAAAGCACAAAGAAATAGTGTACTGTTCTGTTTGCACCCTCTCTCCAGGTTACTTTGGGTCTAATGTTAGAGAGGGGAGGAGGACCTGTAACAAGGTCTGCCCAACATCCCAAGCTGGCTGCCCTAGCTTTGAGTATCCCCTCCCCTTTGTGAAATGTAAATTTAGGATGATGATGCTGGAAAATGACATAAGACTTTGTGCTTACCCAGTAATTTTCATGCAGGTGGGGTGTGTCAGAAACTACAGGGACTGAGAGTAAGGATGCAGGGGCATGTGCTGTTTGAAAAAGGTTATTTAATATTATTACACTACTTTTTTTATTTGAAAGATAAAAATACCCATTGATTTCGTAATGCAAACTAATTAGAAGAAAGGCTTCAAAATATCTTCCGGAGTTATACAGATATGTGGAAAACTTATTTTATGATTCTAAATGGGAGAAATGGCACAGACTCTCAATGTCAGTGGACAAGTACGTGACATTTTCGTATCTATCAAAAGGGAACAAGATTTGCTAAGCTCAACAAATACTATTCTAAATTTAGGAAGAAGTGGCCAATAAGAAAGAAAGGGAAGGGGTCCCACAACCTAGTATTGAGACCCACCCACTCCTGATCCATTCCCTCTCTCAACCTCCTGCATGGCAGTCCCCTTGGGAGGTTCAAAGCAGCCCCTTTGCTCCACGTAATGCATCCTGCCTCATTTTCTTTTCCTCTCTGGACTCTCAGATGCAGAGTGCAGAGGGTGAATAATTCGGATGCACTCTTACCATTGGCCATCCCTGGTCTAAAGAAAGGATGTGAGGCAAAGGATACCTTCGCAGGCAGATACTTCTGTGCCATCTTCTCCGTGTGTCAACAACGAACGGCTGAATTTTGGTTTCTGCTCCAATCCTGTCTGCTTTCCTTTCTCAGATGTCACTGAACGGAAACTCTGGGACCGGGACACGGAAATCTCAAATTGTTTGATCACCTCCTCGTCACTGTCAGAAGATGTGGACAGCTCTTCGTCATCCCCAAAGCTGTTGACTGGGAGTAAACAAGAGCCATGAGTCTCCTGTGTGGCCTATATGCTCGAATACAGAGATAGACTCTCCAGGAAAACAGAAGAGAAGAACGTGGACAATGAGTTTGAACGAAGGCACACTCAAACTGGATAGAAAAAAAATTTAAAGCACTTTTGCAACACAAATTTGAGTCCAAAGCAAAGAATGCTCATGAAGGTAATTAGAAATACGGTATATAGCTAGAACCCAAGACAAATCATTGGGACACCCATAATCATCATAATGAACCCTCATGTTGAGCCAGGCAGCCCTGCTGATTTGTTACGCTGCTTAAATGTGTTCATAACTGGAAACAGAACGTTTATCAGCACATTTGCCTTATATGCAGTTCTAGTCAATGACCATGGGATGTATGCTCTTCATCTAATCTCATTTATTAAAACACACATAGCCAATCCCCACTTCGGAGAAGGAATATCTACAACACGATTTTATTTTCCAAAAGCTTTCTAGTTTTGAAAAGAGACCCCACCAGACGCAGTGGCTCACGCCTGTAATCCCAGCACGTTGGGAGGCCGAGGTGGGCAGATCACTTGAGGTCAGGAGTTCCAGACCAGCCTGGCCAATATGGTGAAACCCTGTCTCTACAAAAAATACAAAAATTAGCCAGGCACGGTGTCAGGAGCCTGTAATCCTGGCTACTCGGGAGGCTGAGACAGGAGAATCACTTGAACCCAGGAAGTGGAGGTTGCAGTGAGCTGAGATCGCACCACTGCACTCCAGCCTCGGTGACAGAGTGAGACACTGTCTCAAAAAAAAGAAAAAGAAGAGAAAAGAGACTCATTGTGTGTGTGTGTGTGTGTTTTAACTCATTTAGAAATTTTCTGAATCTTTCTCAGCATCAACAACCCAACCTTTGAAAAATAAGTTGTATTGTACATATTTGAGGTTTACAACATGATGGTATGGGATACATACAGATAGTAAAATGGTTCCTAGAGTGAAGCAAATTAACATATCTATCACCTCACATAGTTACTTTTTTGTGTAACAAGAGCAGCTGAAATCTACTTATTCAACAAAAGCTCCTAATGAAATACAGTTTTATTCACTATAATCCACATCTTATAGGTTAGATCTGTAGACTTGTTCATCCTGCATATCCGCTTTGTATACTTTGACATGCATCCCTACTCCTGCCCCCTGCCCCTTGGTAACTGTTTTGTTTTGTTTTGTTTTGTTTTGTTTTGTTTTGTTTTTTTAGATTCCACATCTAAGTGAAATGATGCACTATGCCTCTTTCTGTGTCTGGCTTATTTCATTTAGCATAATGTCCTCCAGTTCCATTCATGTTAG
This sequence comes from Homo sapiens, assembly GCF_000001405.40. Lineage (NCBI taxonomy): Eukaryota > Metazoa > Chordata > Mammalia > Primates > Hominidae > Homo > Homo sapiens. The sequence goes on along the minus strand of NC_000014.9, from coordinate 62,068,268 downwards.
GGCAAATGGCAGATCTCCTTTTTAAAAATTTTTTTTTCATTGTCAATATAAAAATCTCCTTCCTTTCTAAGGCATATTTATGTACCACAATTTCTTTATCCATTTGTCCACTGACGGACACTTAGGTTGTTTCCTTATCTTGGCTATTGTGAATAATGCTGCAGTGAGCATGGGAGTGCAGATACCTTTATGAGGTGGTGATTTCACCTCCTTTAGGTATATACCCAGAAGATGGACTTGTGGATCATATAGTAGTATATTATTAATTTTTTTTCTTTTCTTTGAGACAGAGTCTCGCTCTGCCACCCAGGCTGGAGTGCAGTGCCACAATCTCAGCTCACTGCAACCTCTGTCTCCTAGGTTCAAGCAATTCTCGTGCCTCAGCCACCAGAGTAGCTGAGATTACAGGCATGCACCACCATACCCAGCTTTATTTATTTATTTGTTTGTTTGTTTGTTTGTTTGTTTTAGTAGAGACAGGGTTTCACCATGTTGGTCAGGGCCTCCCAAAGTGTTGGGATTACAGGCGTGAGCCACCATGCCCCCAGCCTATTGTTAATTTATTTAGGAACCTCTATACTGTTTTCCATAACAGCTGCCACCATGTACATTCCCAGCAACAGTATGCTAGAGTTTCCTCTTCTCCATACCCTCACCAACACACGATGTCTTTTGTGTTTTTGATAATAGCCTTCCTAATGAAACACCCTTTGAATTATTCATACACTTTTCCCACACCCTTGATATACCAGCACACGGGCCCTCTTTCAGTTTCTCCAACAGGCCGAGATTGTTCCTCCTGTTGAGCTCTTTGACTTTGTTGTTCCTTCTGCCTCCCCCAGGTGTTTATATGTCTGGCTCCTTCACATCGCAGGTCTCAGCTTGACTGGCACTTCATCCTACAGTCCTCCCTGAACACCCTCCCTTAAGTAGTTGCCTTCATAGCACTAAGCTTTAGTTCTCTGTTCTCCCCTATAACTTCCATGAAAATAAGGATATTTCCTATTTTGTTAACTGATGTCTCTCAATATGTAAAACAATGCCTTCTCCACGGTAAGTAGTTCATAAATACTTGTTAAATATTGAATGACTTGGTGAATACCCAGAGTTCTCCTAAGCCTGAGTGTATATCCATGCACACACACATACACACACACACACACATGCACACACACGGTTCCCTGTGCTTAGAATACTCTTCTCCAGCCCCTATATACACTAGTCAGGAATCTAACTCATCATTGAGGTCTCAGCTTAGACATCACTTCTTCCAGAAAGTCCTTCCCTGACCTCTTACAGCAGGTTCAGCAGGTTAAGAGCTCCCTGCATGTGCTGTGAAACAATTTTCTGTTCTCTCTTGTCAGTGCTCCCTCGGATGCCACGGCAGCATTACCTATCTAACTGCAAGTTACCCCACCTAATCTGCATATACCATGAGGGCGAGGAGCACATCAGACTGCCCACCTTTGCATCCAGGCCCTATCTCCAAGCCAGGCACAAAGCAGAATACTCTGTAAATATTTGCTGAATGTGAATTGGAAACCATAAATAATGGGGAATAATTTTTCATCATTTTATATCCCAAAGTCAAATAGTGATTCCAGAGAAGAATATGGTTGTTCATTCACAGATGGGTCCTGAAGATCACTTCTGAGTCAGAAGCCAGGAAGGAATAAAAAGCCATATTTCAAGTGAGAGAAAATACTTTTAAACACCAGCCTGGTCAAAACATGTATTCTCTGGCTTGTCTAAGAGCTGACATTCCTGAGGTTCTTTGGAAGACTAGCAATAATAACACACTTACTGAGTGCTCATTATGTGCCAGGCACTGTCATAAGTGCCCGACACACAAAACCTTTACAACTATTTCCATTTTTCCAAGAAAACTGAGGCAGAGAGAAGTACACAGCTGGCAGAAGATCACACCGTCAATTAAGAGCAGAACCAAGATCTGATTTAAAGCAGCCAGTCTCTAGCACCCACATTTCTAATCATAGTGCTGGAGAATCAGAGAGAGGTGGTGGAAAGAACTCTCACTCTGTGTACTCACATTAACTAGTGGAGGTCCTGTGGCCAAGTCTCTTAATCTCTCTTATGCCTTGTTTTTGGATCATTTTAAAGGTCTGGATCATCTCCCAGGTCTTTTCTAGCTCTAAAATTCTCCAACTCCAAACTTCCTGCTGGACATGCATCAACATTTGATTTGTTTTTCACTGATCTTCTCTTTTATGGAGCAGCTTCTCCATGAACATAAGAGTACATCTTTGTCATCTCACTTAATTCTATTGGCTGCATCTAACGCCACAGTAGGGCTTGAAAACCTAAGTGTCAGAAGAGACTGGATTTCCCAGCATTACTCCAATAAGCTAGGCAAATACCATTCCATCAGAAAACCACCATAATGACCAGTCTCTTCATGCCTCCATGTGCTGGGCATAGCACTCTAGGATGCGATGGACCAATGCATATAGGAGAGATCCAGGGACAACAGGAACAAAATCAAACTACTTCCACCTTTAGAGTACAGGACCAGCTAAGCACCTGGGGAGATACATGAATGTGAGGGGTGTCTGGATTAGACAACAATTGGAGTGCTTTCCAACTCTGAGATTCCATTCTAATTTATATTTTTAGGCCAATTTTTAAAATTTAAGTAGTCATAAGTCATCCATTTCAAATGAGTTAGCCAATGCATGGATATCTTTCCATCTATAAAATTAATAATTGCAACTAATTTATTAGTATATGGTTCTTGATTTTTTTTCAGTGAGCCATTGATCATCCACAGAGCAAAAATTCTCCTTGCCTGATATACAATCATACAGTAGTTATAACATTTCCCATATACTAAACATATATACCAGCTACCTTCTTGGGACTTTGCATCTACCCATTCCATGAAGTAGGAATTCTATTCTGATTATATAGATAGAAACAAAAGACAGAGAAAAGTTAAGTAACTTGTCATAAGGCAACAAATTTAAGACATTACCAAAGTTGGGACTTAAGCGTAGCATCTATGTCCCTAACCACTCTGCATATCATCAGATTTCATTGCATTAGGAAGCTGAAGCCCTATCTAGCTTACTCCTCACAGTAAGGTTCAGGGAGCTCTCCTGCTTCCACCCTGAAACCTGTGAAGAGTGCTTTCTTTGTGATGGATAAAGGTAGAGCAGAGCAGTGAAAAGGGCAGTAGTAGTGTAGATGTGAGTGCATACAGGCTTATTGTTCCTTGTGGGATTATAAACACATCCACACGTGCTATTCTAAGCCTCACTCCCCAAGGACCTCAGGGAATTCTCAGTCTAAAAATGAAACTTGCGATCTCTTGCAAAGGCCACTGAGCAGCAATAGAAGTCAATAGTGGCACTGTTACAGTAATAAAAGCAATCCTTTATGCAGCATTTATCACATGCCAGGCATTGTTCTACTGCTTGACATATGTTAACTTATTTACCCCTCACAATAACCTAAGAAAGTAGGTACTATTATTATCCCCAGGCTATGAATGAAGAAACTAAGGCACAATGAGGTTAATAACTTGCCACAGTCATAACAGTTTATAAGCAGTGAGCCAAGATTCAAACCCAAGCTGTCTTGCTCCGAAGTCCATGTTATTAATAGTCCATTACGCTCCCTCTACCATCTGTTTCCCCATGGAAAAAACTTCTTAAATTCTGGACAAAATGGATGCAACTGTGTTTTATCACCAGAAAAATAAAATCACATATATTGGGCTGGAAAAGATTTTCATGAGCATCTATTCCCTCTATTTCACACAGAAAAACTAAAGCCAAAAAGCTGAAGTGATTTGCCCACCATCGCACCAAACAAGCACCAATCTAAAGTCTACCATGTTCCAAGTCAATGGTTTTTCCATAGCATTTTCCAATCTCTCCCCAGTGTTTTCTTTTTTTTTTTTTTTTTTTTTTTTCAAATTTAAAGTTTGGCTCTTGTCTATTTGCAAGATCCCAGCTACTTGCCTTTCAATGTATCTATGCTACCAACTAAATAGCTGATGTGGGTTTCATTTAACTTAATCTTTGAAAATCACAAGGTCTCATCTAAGTTGTGACACTTATTTCAGCAATAAGATAGTATTTTCTGAAGCATCATATAAATACCAAGTTCAAATCCCTTTCCCATTAAGTACCAAGGAAATAATACAGTAGAAATTTTTATTAAAATCTTTACCTCTTCATCCAATTAACTTGCTAATGTGACAGAAAAAAAGTTACACAATTATCGTAAATGTGGATACACCTTGAAGCTGAAAGACTGTTCATTTCACTCAATCACAGAATTCAGACAGATCTCAGATATCATCTAAACATCTGCCACCAAAGAGAAAGCTGACTCTCCCGCAATCTTTCTGATACATGTACTCCGGCACCTTCATCCCTTTATTAACACACAACCAAGGTGCTACTGTGGGCTTCTTGCACTGGCAGGCAGTTAATGACTTTGACAGGCAGAAAGGTATCCAAAAATGACCTATCAATATCAAGTTCCTATTGCTATGAAGCCAGAGTGTTCCTCTCTCTAATTTTTAATCATTTTTTTTCTAGTTGAAGGAGGGGCAGAGGAAATTCCATCTTTATCTTCCAAAGAGACGGGATGGTGGGGTCTTAGTATGACAGAAACTGGCTGTTGGGAGTAGTATCACCCACGGCTAGAGTGGTTAAGAGTGCAGAATGTGAAGCCAAGCTGACAGAGTTTAAAACTGGGATATTATATTTGCGAGTCTGGGACCTAAGCAAGTTCCTTTAATCTCTCTAAACTTCAGTGTCCTCATTTTGATATCCCTTACCTCTTAAAATTGTTGAGAAGACTAAATGAGATAAGCCACGTAAAGGCCTTAGCATATGTCTGGCATATGGTATACTTTTTAAATGTTTAACTACTATTGTTATATTCATCGTCTTCATCAGCATCCCCCATCATGTCACTGCCCTTTGTGGAAATCCTTTTCTCCAGCTTGGCATTTATACGCACAGGAAAGCATGTGCCCTCTCCCAGGGTCTGACTTTGAGAACTCACCATTAGGGTTGTTGTAGTGGAAGGGTGGAAAATACAAGGGCTGAGGCAGGAGGAGATAAAGCTGATAGTGTGGGTTGTACTTCCCACCTTACCTTACAATCCTTTTTCCCAAGCCTGGAGGTGGAGTGCTCTGTAGGAGCTAACAACACTGCCTGGAAGTGGGAAGTGCCCAACACCTGCTCATTTTGTTGCTTCTTTTAAGGAAACAAAATTACCAACTGGCGATGCAAAGAGAGGATTTCTTGAGCCTGTCTGCTGCTACTTTACAGATGGAGAAAAAAATTATAAATGATCAGAGTAGCTCCAAGCCTATTAATTCCTTCCCACCCACATAGGAGCAATGCAGTGGAGGCAAGTATTGCTCACATCGTACAGACGGGAAGTAGAGACAGGTAGGGGTGGGTTGTGCTCAGTGGTGCAGTACCCGAGTGCTACTTTCAACTGCAATTTCAGGAAATCCCTTAGATACGAGATTTCTCCAATATCCACAGCAAATGGCTGCCTGTGTTGGTTGGATAAGGATAGAAATAAGGATAAAAAAAAAAGCAGAAGGGAGATCAAAGATGACAACTGCCCACATTAGACCCTAGGAAAAACGGCCACATTTCTAAAAGCACAATCTGGCCATTCCCGGACTCAAACAAGTTAGGAAAAGAGTTTTATAAATTACCCAGTCTTGATTTTTTTCAGACTATTCCCTGAGGAAGTCTAAGGTTCCCCAAAGGAGCTTCAATGCCAACGTAGACGTGGAGGTGTGTAAGGGATGCAATGCACAGGCTGGGCTCTGCACCCTTTTCAATCAGGGCTATTTTGTTTTAATATGCTTTACATTTTCATAAGATTATGCTGGGGGGAGAAGGAAGACTCTGACACATTAAGTTTTAAAAACACTGATGTAAACAAACTCCTTCATTCTCCCTCATCCCCCCCTCAAATAGAGAAACTAAGGCTGAGGCTACTTAAGAGACTTCAGTACAATCAAATAGCTAGTAAGTGGCAGAAAAAAGATCAACATCTGGTCCTCCTGCAAACATCTGTTTTGTCACCCAAACCTTGTATGAGATGTTTTGACAACTCCATTTCACATAGGAACAAAGCGATGGCACTTGTAATAGTTAAATATGAGTGAGTCAAATAGAAAATCTTCCATTACAATTAGTAACATACAAAGCACTATACTAGGCAACAAGTTACAATATTGAAAATTCCGGTTCTGATAATGGCAGAGTGATTCAAACTAACCCCTCTACAAGTAAAAAATTATAAATTCACAACAACATTTTTTAAGTCAACTATTTGAAGGCATGGTGAGCAAGAGCAGGCAGAAATTGGAGGAGATCCAATTTCTGAAAGAAGGGAACACAGATTATATATATACTTGCTGTTTTTTTTCATTGCTCTAGCAGCTACTGAGAAAGAGGTGTTAAAATCTCTAACTTTTATTTTGAAATTTTATTTCCCCTTTTAGTTTGTTACGTCTTCCTCCATGTATTTTGAAGCCCTTAATAGGTGCATACACACTTACAATTTTGTGTCTTCTTGATGAATTGACCACTTTACCACTACAAAACATACTTCTTTCTTTTTCCTAATACTCCTTGTCTTGAAGTCTACTTTGTCTGATATTAATGTAACTGCACTAGCTTCCTTATGCTCACAGTTTGCATAACTCATATTTTTTAATTCTTTCATTTTCAACCCGTCTGTGTTTATATTTAATGTATGCTTCTTATAGCTATAATACAGTTGGGTCTTGCTTTCTTCTTCATTTTGACAATCTGTACTTTCAAGTGAGATATTTATTTAATTTGCATTTAATGTATGAACATTGCTAGGTTTAGGTATGTCATTTTGCTGTTTGTTTTCTATTTGTTGCATCTGTTTTTTCATCTTCAGTTGCTCTTACTACTTTATGCATGTGTTAATAACCTGTTTGCTTAGAATTCAATTTTAATTTGTCTATTAAGTTCTTTGGCTATACCTATTTTCATTTTCTTCTGTCAACGGTTGTTCTAGGGATTGTGTCCTAAGTGAATCACAGTCTATTTTAAGCCAGTGTTATATCAATTTACAAAATTTACACGTTGCATTATACAATATTATACCACTCTACAATGATTTGTACTTTGCAACAGCATAAATAATTTACCTCCCCTCTCCTTTGTGTTACTGTCATCTCATATTTAACTTCACAGTTTATCAACCCCACAATGCAATACTGTATCTTTTATTATCTCTGTACCTTGACATACAGTTGATCATAATGACATGCACTTGAAAAGAGTGTTCTGCAGTTTTGGGATATAGAGTTCAATAAATATCAAATAGTACCAATCTCTACACAACTCTTATAGAAAGAAGAGAAAGAAAGAACATTTCTCAACCCATTTTATGAGGCCAGCATAATCCTAATATAAACTCCTTCTAACAAAGACATTACAAGTATAGAAAATCATATGCCAATATCTCTTATGATTATAGTCATAAAAAATCCTCAGCAATATATTAAAAAAAGAAATCCAATAATGTATTTAAAGGATTATATATTATGACCACATAAGGTTTACCCTAGAGAGGCAAGGTTGGTTTAAGATACTAAAGTTGATGCAATTCACCAAATTAACACAATAAAAAAGAAAAACCAAATAATCATCTCAACACATACAGAAAACAATGCTGACAGAATTTATTGTCAATTTCTGATAAAAAAAAAAAAATTTCACCATCCTATGGATATTTCTCAATCATGAAAGAAAAGGAGTGTAGGGAATCTACTAAAACCCTATAGCTAAAATCAACTGTGAGAACTACTTAGTGAATTTGGCAAGGTCATTATATAAAAATCAATTCTATTTTTATATTCTACTAACAAATTACAAATGAAATTTTTTAAAAATTCCATTTAGAAAGAGCATCAAAATGCACTAATACTTAGAAGTAAATTTAACAAAAGGCATTCAAAACTCTCACACTAAAAGCATTAAAACATTACTGAGAGAAAATAGAGGACTCAATATTGTTAAGATGCTAATTTCCCTCAACCAGTGTAATGATTTAAAGCAATCCAAACAGATATTTTTTGTCAAGTTTGACAAGTAGACTCTGAAGTGTTTAAGAAAACATAAAGGACCTAGAGTAGTCAAAATAATTTTTAAGAAGAGCAAAGTAGGGGGACCCACCTATCTGATTTTAAGACTTATTATATAGCTACATTAAATCAAGACAACTTGCTATTGGCAAAAGGATAGATCAATAAATCAATGAAGCAGAATACAGAGTCCAGAAATAGTGCCACACAAGTATGGTCTATTATTTTTTCACAACAGTGCCAACGTAATTCAATATGAAAGTCTTTTCAAAAACTGATGCTTGAGCATATGGGTATCTATTTGTGAAAAGAAACATCAACCCTTCTATCTCACATTGAGTGTGTGTGTGTGTGTGTGTGTGTATGTGTATACATATACACATATATATGATTTTGATTAATTTATATATGTAGCTATACATATATAAAAATTATATGTATATATATACATATATATAAATTATATATATGTATCAATTACATATATATAAATTAATCCTAAATCTAACTGTAAAACTTTAAACTATAGAATACCCAAGGAAAAACTTCAGAGCAATCTTTTGTGACCTTAGGATATACAAAAGCATTAACCATACCAGAAAAAAATTGCTAAGTTGGACTCCATCAAAATTAAAAACTTTTGCTCTTTGAACAATGTCATTTACAAAAAGGCAAACCATAGGCTGAGGGAAAATAAAGGGCTTCTATCTAGAATTTATAAAGACCCTTTACAACTCATAAATAACACAACCAACAAAATTTAAAAATCCAGACACTTCATAAATTAATGTGTACAAATGGCCTATAAACAAATGAAAGATGCTCCACATCAGTGATCATCAGGGTAAGACACAGTAAAATCACATGAGATACCGATAAATTGAGGGCTGTTTTTAAAAATCTTTTCTTTTTTTAACTTTTAAGTTCAGGGGTACGTGTGCAGGTTTGTTACATAGGTAAACTTGCGTCATGGGGGTTTTTTTGTACAGATTATTTTATCACCCAGATATGAAGCCTAGTACCCATTAGTTATTTTTCCTGATCCTCTCCCTCCTCCCACCCTCCACCTTCCCAAAGGTCCCAGGGTCTGTTGTTCCCCTCTATGTGTCCATGTGTTCTCACCATTTAGCTCCCACTTATAAGTGAGAACATGTGGTATTTGATTTTCTGCTCCTGTGTTAGTTTGCTAAGGATAATGGCCTCCAGCTCCACCCACGTCCCAGCAAAGGACATGATCTCATTCTTTTCTATGGCTGCATAATATTCCACGGTGCATATATGCCACATTTTCTTTATCTAGTCTACCACTGATGGACATTTAGGCTGATTCCATGTCTTTGCTATCGACAAAATTTTAAAAACCTGAACATATCAAAGTCAAGGAAGCAAAGCATCTGGAGCCCTCATACACTCCTGGTGAAAATGTAAAATGATAAAACTACTTTTGAACACTATTTGGCAGTTTCTTAAGAATTTAGGCCAGGCATGGTGGCTCATGCCTGTAATCCCAGCACTTTGGGAGGCCAAGGCGGGCAGATCAACTAAGATCAGAGGTCGAGACCAGCCTGGCCAGCATGGTGAAACCCCATCTCTACTAAAAAATACAAAAATTAGCTGGGCATGGTGACACATGCCTCTAATCCCAGCTACTCAGGAGGCCGAGGCAGGAGAATCACTCACAGAAGAACCTGGGACGCGGAGGTTGCAGTGAGCCGAGATTGCACCACTGCACTCCAGCCTGGGTGACAGAGCTGGGTGACAGAGCGAGACTCCTTCTCAAAAAAAAAAAAAAAAAAAAAAGAATTTAAACATAACATACATTTGACCATATAACCTAGCCACCCACTTCCAGATATTTTCCCAAGAAAAACAAAGACACATGTTCACACAAAGACTTACAAATGTTCATAGAAGCTTCATGTGTAATAGTCAAAATCTGGAAGCAAACCAAAAGCCTGGCAACACATGAACAGATAAACAAATTGTGGTATATAAATACAATGAAATATTACTCAGAAATCAAAAGGAAGGAACTATTTATACCTGCAACAACACGAATGAATCTCAAAAGCATTAAACTAGTGGGTAAAAAGGTAAAAAGAATGTGCATTATATAACTCCATTTTTATAATAATCTAAAAATTCAAAATAATATATAGTGACAGAAAATAGATCCATGGTTGCCTGGGGTGGGGTTAGAGAGAGAGATGGATTACAAAGAGGCAGGAGGAAATTTTTGGAGTGATGTAAATATATGTTTTCTTGACTGTGGTATTTGTTTCACAAGTACAATATGTCAAAACTCATCAACTTGTATACTTTATGTATGTGCGGTTTATTGTACTTCAAGTGTGCCTCAATGGAGTTTTTTTAAGTAGCTTAAAAGAAATCTATATCTTATAGCAGCCTTACCTCTTTCCTTTGCGAGACCCAGAGGATCTCCCCTTGGTGACTCAAATATTCCCAGCATTAAGTCATTTCTGTGCAGTTGAGAAAGCTCAAATCCATAAGTCATGAGCCAATAAGTACTTGTCTTCCTGCCCTAAACCTAGGAAAGAAGCCCAAGTACCCATGAAATGTTGCATTTCTCTACTCCCCACTGTATTTACCTGGGAAGTTCTTCTGGCATTCCTATTTATATTGTGAGTTCCTAGACAAACCTTTAAATCCAGCCGAGAGCTTACTTGTCCGACCCTACCCCCATGTCTCTAGTTATTGGACCCTCTTCCCTGTCCCAACAGCCACGAACTAAGGTCAAACCCAACTAACTCTGAATACAATGATACTACAACCTGGGCCCTTCTGGTGCCATATTCAGCCCACTATATTTATGCCTATGAGAAAAAGTGTTTACCTATTGTGATGGTTAATATTGAGTGTCAACTTGATTGGACTGAAGGATGCAAAGTATTGTTCCTGGGTATATCTGTGAGGGTGTTGCCAAAGGAGATTGGCATTTGAGTGAGTGAACTGGGAAAGGCAGACCTACCCTCAATCTGGGTGGGAACCATCTAATCAGCTTTCACCATGGCCAGAATAAAAAGCAGGCAGAACTGGGCTCCTGGCTGACCACGGGGCCTTTGCACGGCCTGGGCTTTGCGACCGCAGTGTCCTCCTCCTGTCCCCGGTCGTGCGCCGTGCCCCCCAGCGCGGCTCACGTTTCGGAACACGTCTGACTTTCATGCCTCCCGAAGAGCCTCCCTGCATCCCGTGCCCCCTGCTCGCTGCTGCCGCTGACCCTTGGGCGCCGCGCTCGTCCAGAGCGTGTTGTCCTCCGACGCCGTCAGAACCTAAGCTCCCTGCAAGCTGGGACTCCGCCGTGTCTTCATTGCCTCCAGTGCAAAGCAACTGCTTGCAAGAGAACAAAAGTGTGTTCAGGTGCACAGAGTAGAAAATTCAAGGAGCCTGAATGGGTATTTGGTGAAGACTTGATGTGTTTTTCCCAGTCCTAACCTCCAAGGCCCAGTTCTCCCCTGGGGCAGAGAGAAACCCGTTTCTTATGTGTCTACAAAGAAAGTCTATGCAGGAACATCTACGTGCGTTTCTGCAAAAGGTCAGTTACTTTACTCGGGGCCTTTATACTTAACGTAGCTTGGAGAGCGCCCCATGCATTCAGATACAGGTGGGATTCATCCGGAAACGGAGTTTTATAGCACCAGACTTTATCCCCTTTCCTGTAGAAATTTAGGGTTTTTGCTGTCTTTTATAACCAACAATGCTAGCCTGACTATTCCTTGTACAAACCCTTTTTTGCCCAGGTCAGACTATTTTCTTAGGTTAAATTCCTTGGTGTAGAAGTGCGAGGGCTGTATTTAGGCCCCTAAAGGGGTGGTACCAAATCGCCCTCCTCCACCAGCATAAGAAGGGGCTGGTGACACCCTTGCCCAAGCTGGATTTTGCAGACCTGGTAGACGTGAGATAGTATTTCACTGTAGCTTTGTGTTTCCTGTAAGTATAATCAAACGTCGTGATGTTCCTGTCACATCTATTTTACGTTGATCATTGTTACCACTGATAATCATTTCGAGATTGGAAAATACGTTTATTATAAACATTTGACTATTTAAAAGCAAAAAAAAAAAAAGCAGGGAGAAGAACGTGGAAAAAGTAGACTGGCTGAGTCTTCTGGCCTCCATCTTTCTCCCACACTGAATGCTTCCTTCCCTTGAACGTCGGACTCCAAGTTCTTCAGCTTTGGGACTCTTGGACTTTCGACCACAGACTGAGGCTGCTCTGTCGGCTTCACCACTTTTGAGGTTTTGGGACTCAGACTGGCTTCCTTGCTCCTCAGCTTGCAGATAGCCTATTGCAGAACTTTACCTTGTGATCATGTGAGTCTATACTCCTTAATAAACTCCCCTTTATATATACATCCATCCTATTAGCTTTGTTCCTCTAGAGGACCCTGACTAATACACCTATATCAGCCCCAAGTTGTCCTTGCATTTTTGAGCAGGGATTTGTGTTGCTGATTATTCACCTAAGGGATCCACCCTATATCAAGGGCTCCTCTAGCCTCTTTGAGGCTTATTTTCTTTCCCCGCCAGACCAAATCCATCAAAGATAAAAGAAGAGCCATGATGAAAGTACTGACAGGTAGGGTGATTGGTTCTGACTGCAGGGATCACAAAACCCTCACCACAGGTAGTATTCTAAACAGATTCATATCTGTAGTCAGATTCACTGCGCCCTCCTTTCTCACTGCAAGGACTCTCTCAAGTAACGATGTTTTCTGAACATTTGGCTTTGATGATTACTCTAAGCTGTTTCATCACTGCAAAAAGATTCACCTAGACAAAAGCAAGTGTGAAACTGTCAGCCTCTCTGACTCTTTTAAGCTCTGCTGTCTCATTTGTATGCCTCCTATAAGGGAATTGCTTGATAGGACCCAAGAGTTGTGTTGTTTTCCTACTATGGTGGCATTTGCATACAAATGAATGGCCAAGACTGTAATTTACTCTGCTGAGAACTGAGGTGACCTGATAATTAAATTTCTGCACATGCAGAGAAAACACAAAACCAAACGGTTGTTCTTGCTTTCTTTCCCCAAACCCCCAATATTTCTCTATCACTCCAATGAATCCTTACAAGCAAATGTTGAGTCAACATTTTAATTTACAAATTCTCTGACTAGAAAGATTTTTTTTAATCTCATTGCCATAGATTCTAAAATGAAGGGCCTGGGATGTGTAAACAGGCTGAAAAAGATCATGAATGGCTCTTGCAATTTTCAGGTGTTGTGAGTTTCTAGCTTTCTAGCTGTTCAGTTTATTCACTAGTCTTCCTATCCCATGCTGTAAATCATCCTCAAGGCAATTTCTAAAGTTATTCTTTTATCTCACAACAGAGGCAAGTCAAGCTACAGAGATAATTTCTATAAGGCAGTTATAAACTCCCTTCAGCATCGACTCTATAATGAATATATCCAAATATATCACAACTGAAAATAAATAGACTGAATATTAAGAATAGACTCACTAGCCAGGCACAGTGGCTCACATCTGTAATCCCAGCACTTTGGGAGGCCAAGGCAGGCACATCACCTGAGTCCAGGAGTTTGAAACCAGCCTGGGCAACATGAGGAAACTGTACCTCTACAAAAAAATACAAAAATTAGCTGAGCGTGGTGGCACGCACCTGTAGTCCCAGCTACTAGTCAGGCTGAGGTGGGAGGATTGCTTGAGCCTGGGAGATTGAGGCTGCAGTGAGCCATGATCATGCCACTGCACTCCAGCCTGGATGACAGGGTGAGACCCTATCTCCAAAAAAAAAAAAAAAAACTCACTTCACTAAGTAACAGCTTTTATAAAGGCCATATTCAAAAAAAAAAAATCATACAATCTGTAGATCAGATATTTGGTGGTGGTATGCTTATACTAGAATAGCAGCCCCCAAATGATTCCCTGATAAAATCTAATAATAAATAACTCTTCTCCATTTGCAAAAAGAAAAATGGAAAAGGTTTTCTAAATGTTCACTTTTCCCCTAACACTTCTATGCCGTGGATGCCTGCTATCACACACATGCTGACAAGAATAAGCAGGTAATAAAACACATGAATATTAGCAAAGAAACTTGGAAATAGCTAATCATGTTTCTTTCCCCAGCTTGCTTTGTCATGGATATGCACATTCACGGCTATGACTGTTAAATGGCTTCCATAATCTAGTCATATTTTCCACTGGTAAAATGGTTCCTGATTCATGATGAAAATAAATCCATTAAAGTTTCATGGGGTTCCACAAAAAGCACCTCGACTTTTTAGGCATTCAACCACCTAAAAACAAGCCTGGCACCATTGAACAAAAAATTGCTCTAGGTATAATAATGCCTTTTGTTCCATTCATTTTCATAATTGTCATACAGAGTTTAGTTTACCTTCTATTATTTTCTTATTTACATTTTCTAAATAGGTTTATGTAGTCGTGACTCCCCTAACATTTCTGAGGAATTTGCAGTCTTAATTCATACTTTTCTAGTCTCTGCCCTTAACATCTATTATACTATTAAGAATAAAGCACATGCTTCAATAGTGAATGAACAAAGGAATTTAAAAATTAGTACAATACTGTATTAGGGTTCTGCAGAGAAATAGAATCAATAGGATATAAATGTGTATAGAAAGATTTGTTATAAGAGATGAGCTTATGCAATCATGGGAGCTGAGAAGTGCCAAGGTCTGCAGTCAGCATGCTGGAAACCCAAGAAAGCCAGTGATGTAGTTTCAGTCTGACTTTGAAGGTCTGAGAACCAGGGGAACCAATAGCGTAAGTTCCGGTCAGAGTCCAGATACTTAAGAATCAGGAGAGCAGATGATGTAAGTTTCAGTCTGAGGGCAGGAGAAGGCTCATGTCCTTGAGAAAGGATCCCCTTTCCTCTACTGTCCAAAAAACGTCTTTTTCATTTCCATCTGAGACTTCATCAGAATGGACTTTACTGTTCACATTTCTACCAACAATCTGGACATGATTATTTACGTATTCTCTTAGAAGATGGGAGTTTTCTCTAGAGCTCTCCTCTTTTCTGAGCCCTTACCAGAATCACTTTTAAAAGTTCCTTCATGACAATTTTGGCGTCTTCTAGCATGTACTTCAAAACCCTTCCAGCCTCTACCCATTACCCGGTTCCAAAGCTGCCTTCACATTTGTAGATATTTATTACAGCAGCACCCCACTGCTCAGAACCAATTTATGTCTTTCATGCTGCTATAAAAAAGTATCACAGACTGAAAGATTTATAAACAGCAGACATTTATTTCTTATAGTTCTTGAGGCTAGAAATCTGAAATCGGGATGCCAGCATGCTTAGGCTCTGGTGAGGGCCCTCTTCTAGGCTGCAGACAGCTGACTTCTCTTTTTATCCTCACATGACAGAAAGAGAGCTCACTAACTCCCTTGCCTTTTCTTATGAAGGCACTAATCCCACTCATGAGGGCTCCACCTCCATGACCTAATTAATTCCCAAACACTCTACTTCTAAGTACCAACCCATCAGGATTATGGTTTTAAGAAATGAGTGTTTTTTGGGGATGTAAACATTTAGTGCATAACACCCCACAAACACACAGAAGATAATACATTAGAGGGATTCAACTAGCTTAAGGAAGGATGGAAAACAATCAAAGTATACATAGTAATCGCATGCATATGTGGAAGATTTACAAAAATTAGGCCTATATTAGGCCATGAGAACAGAAGCTTCAGAGCTACAATTAGACCACATTCTAATTTCAACACCGTTAAAAATAAAAGTCTCTTAAAAATTATAAAAATGCTTTTGGAAACCAGAAACCACATTTTTAAATAATTGATGGGTCAAAGAAAAAGCCATAATTGGAATGATAAAATATTTACAACTGAAAAATAATGAACACATCACATATCATACATTTGTGGGGTATAGTTAAAGTGGTACTTAAAGGAAATTCATGGATTAATCTAATGCACATATTAGAAAGCAAAAAAAGATTGAAAAACTAATATGATAAATGGTCAACTTAAGATGTTATCAACCAACAGTTTAAACCAAAGCAAAATACAAGGAAGAACTATAAAAGATAAAAGCAGGTATTAATAAAAATATTAATATAAAGAAAACATAACAAAATCAGAGACGATAAAGACTGCATTTTTTTAAAATGTTTCCCAGGCTGGAGTGCATAGCTCACTGCAGCCTCAACCACCCAGGCTCAAGGGATCCTCCACACTCAGCCTCCCAAGGAACTGAGACTACAGGTGTGTGCCACCACACCCAGCTAATTTTCTAATGTTTTATAAAGACAGAGTTTCACCAGGTTGCCCAGGCTGATCTCAAACTCCTGGGCTTAGGTGATCCACCTGCCTTGGCCTCCCAAAGTGCTAGGAATACAGCCACCATGCCCAGCCAAAAACTGCATGTTTTAACAATAAGCCACTAACAAGATCGACTGAGATATAAGACTATACATACAGTGAACCTTTAAAAATCCAAAGAGAAAAAAATAAGTTTAAGCAACTATGCAATTTTAAAAAGAAAAATACAGGGAGGTGGAGCCAAGATGGCCGAATAGGAACAGCTCTAGTATACAGCTCCTAGCGTGACTGATGCAGAAGACGGGTGATTTCTGCATTTCCAACTGAGGTACTGGGTTCATCTCACTGGGTAGTGCCAGACAGTGGGTGCAGGACAGTGGGTGCAGCGCACCGTACATGAGCCAAAGCAGGGTGAGGCATCGCCTCACCAGGGAAGTGCAAGGGGTCAGGGAATTCCCTTTCCTAGTCGAAGAAAAGGGTGACAGATGGCACCTGGAAAATCGGGTCACTCCCACCCTAATACTGCACTTTTCCAAAGGGCTTAACAAACAGCACACCAGGAGATTATATCCCGCACATGGCTCGGAGGGTCCTAAGCCGACACAGCCTCGCTCATTGCTAGCACAGCAGTCTGAGATCAAACTGCAAGGCAGCAGTGAGGCTGGGGGAGGGGCGCCTGCCATTGCCCAGGCTTGAGTAGGTAAACAAAGCAGCCGGGAAGCTCGAACTGGGTGGAGCCCACCACAGCTCAAGGAGGCCTGCCTGCCTCTGTAGGCTCCACCTCTGGGGGCAAGGCATAGCCAAACAAAAGGCAGCAGTAACCTCTACAGACGTAAATGTCCCTGTCTGACAGTTTTGAAGAGAGTAGTGGTTCTCCCAGCACGCAGCTTGAGATCTGAGAACGGACAGACTGCCTCCTCAAGTGGGTCCCTGACCCCCAGTAGCCTAACTGGGAGTCACCTCCCAGTAGGGGCGGACTGACACCTCACATGGCTGGGTACTCCTCCGAGACAAAACTTCCAGAGGAATGATCAGGCAGCAGCATTTGCGGTTCACCAACATCTGCTGTTCTGCAGCCACCACTGCTGATACCCAGGCAAACAGGGTCTGGCGTGGACCTCCAGCAAACTCCAACAGACCTGCAGCTGAGGGTCCTGACTGTTAGAAGGAAAACTAACAAACAGAAAGGACATTCACACCAAAAACCCATCTGTACGTCACCATCATCAAAGACCAAAGGTAGATAAAACCACAAAGATGGGGGAAAAACGGAGCAGAAAAACTGCAAACTCTAAAATTCGGAGCGCCTCTCCTCCTCCAAAGGAACGCAGCTCCTCACCAGCAACAGAACAAAGCTGGACGGAGAATAACTTTGACGAGTTGAGAGAAGAAGTCTTCAGAAGATCAAACTACTCCGAGCTAAAGGAGGAAGTTCGAACCAATGGCAAAGAAGTTAAAAACCTTGAAAAAAAATTGGACGAATGGCTAACTAGAATAACCAATGCAGAGAAGTCCTTAAAAGACCTGATGGAGCTGAAAACCATGGCACGAGAACTATGTGACGAATGCACAAGCCTCAGCAGCTGATGCCATCAACTGGAAGAAAGGGTATCAGCAAAGGAAGACAAAATGAACGAAATGAAGCGAGAAGAGAAGTTTAGAGAAAAAAGAATAAAAAGAAACGAACAAAGCCTCCAAGAAATATGGGACTATGTGAAAAGACCAAATCTATGTCTGACTGGTGTACCTGAAAGTGACGGGCAGAATGGAGGCAAGTTGGAAAACACTCTGCAGGATATTTTCCAGGAGAACTTCCCAAATCTAGCAAGGCAGGCCAACATTCAAATTCAGGAAATACAGAGAATGCCACAAAGATACTCTTTGAGAAGAGCAACTCCAAGACACATAATTGTCTGATTCACCAAAGTTGAAATGAAGGAAAAAATGTTAAGGGCAGCCAGAGAGAAAGGTCGGGTTACCCACAAAGGGAAGCCCATCAGACTAACAGCTGATCTCTTGGCAGAAACTCTACAAGCCAGAAGAGAGTGGGAACCAATATTCAACATTCTTAAAGAATTTTCAACCCAGAATTTCATATTCTGCCAAACTAAGCTTCATAAGTGAAGAAGAAATAAAATCCTTTACAGACAAGCAAATGCTGAGAGATTTTGTCACCACCAGGCCTGCCCTAAAAGAGCTCCTGAAGGAAGCACTAAACATGGAAAGGAACAAGTGGTACCAGCCGCTGCAAAAACATGCCAAATTGTAAAGACCATCAAGGCTAGGAAGAAACTGCATCAACTAACGAGCAAAATAACCAGCTAACATTATAATGACAGGATCAAATTCACACATAACAATATTAACCTTAAATGTAAATGGGCTAAATGCTCCAATTAAAAGACACAGACTGGCAAATTGGATAAAGAGTCAACACCCATCAATGTGCTGTATTCAGGAAACCCATCTCACATGCAGAGACACATATATGCTCAAAATAAAGGGATGGAGGAAGATCTACCAAGCAAATGGAAAACAAAAAAAGGCAGGGCTTGCAATCCTAGTCTCTGATAAAACAGACTTTAAACCAACAAAGATCAAAAGAGACAAAGAAGGCCATTACATAATGGTAAAGGGATCAATTCAACAAGAAGAGCTAACTATCCTAAATATATATGTACCCAATACAGGAGCACCCAGATTCATAAAGCAAGTCCTTAGTGACATAAAAAGAGACTTAGACTCCCACACAAAAATAATGGGAGACTTTAACACCCCACTGTCAACATTAGACAGATCAACGAGACAGAAATTTCACAAGGATATCCAGGAATTGAACTCAGCTCTGCACCAAGCAGACCTAACAGACATCTACAGAACCCTCCACCCCAGATCAACAGAATATACATTCTTTTCAGCACCACACCACACCTATTCCAAAATTGGCCACATAGTTGGAAGTAAAGTACTCCTCAGCAAATGTAAAGAACAGAAATTATAAAAAATTGTCTCTCAGACCACAGTACAATCAAACTAGAACTCAGGATTCAGAAACTCACTCAAAACCCCTCAAATACACGGAAACTGAACAACCTGCTCCTGAATGACTACTGGGTACATAATAAAATGAAGGCAGACATAAAGATGTTCTTTGAAACCAACAAGAACAAAGACACGACATACCAGAATCTCTGGGACACATTCAAAGCAGTGTGTAGAGGGAACTTTATAGCACTAAATGCCCACAAGAGAAAGCAGGAAAGATTTAAAATTGACACCCTAACATCACAATTAAAAGAACCAGAGAAGCAAGAGCAAACACATTCAAAAGCTAGCAGAAGGCAAGAAATAACTAAGATCAGAGCAGAACTGAAGGAAATAGAGACACAAAAAACCCTTCAAAAAATCAATGAATCCAGGAGCTGGTTTTTTGAAAAGATCAACAAAATTGATAGACAGCTAGCAAGACTAATAAAGAAAAAAAGAGAGAAGAATCAAATAGATGCAATAAAAAATGACAAAGGGGATATCACCACTGATCCCACAGAAATACAAAATACCATCAGAGAATACTATAAACACCTCCATGCAAATAAACTAGAAAATCTAGAAGAAATGGATAAATTCCTAGACACATACACCCTCCCAAGACTAAACCAGGAAGAAGTTGAATCCCTGAATGGACCAATAACAGATTCTGAAATTGAGGCAATAATTAATAGCTTACCAACCAAAAAAAATCCAGGACCAGATGGCTTCACAGCCAAATTCTACCAGAGGTACAAGGAGGAACTGGTACCATTCCTTCTGAAACTATTCCAATCAATAGAAAAAGAGGGAATCCTCCCTAACTCATTTTATGAGGCCAGCATCATCCTGATACCAAAGCCTGGCAGAGACACAACAAAAAAAAGAGAATTTTAGACGAATATCCTTGATGAACGTTGATGCAAAAATCCTCAGTAAAATACTGGCAAACCGAATCCAGTAGTACATCAAAAAGCTTATCCACCATGATCAAGTGAGCTTCATCTCTGGGATGCAAGGCTGGTTCAACATACACAAATCAATAAACGTAATCCAGCATATAAACAGAACCAATGACAAAAACCATATGATTATCTCAATAGATGCAGAAAAGGCCTTTGACAAAATTTAACAACCCTTCATGGTAAAAACTCTCAATAAATTAGTTATTGATGGGACATATCTCAAAATAATAAGAGCTATCTATGACAAACCCACAGCCAATATCATACTGAATGGACAAAAACTGGAAGCATTCCCTTTGAAAACTGGCACAAGACAGGGATGCCCTCTCTCACCACTCCTATTCAACATAGTGTTGGAAGTTCTGGCCAGGGCAATCAGGCAGGAGAAGGAAATAACGGGCATTCAATTAGGAAAAGAGGAAGTCAAATTGTCCCTGTTTGCAGATGACATGATTGTATATCTAGAAAACCCCATTGTCTCAGCCCAAAATCTCCTTAAGCTGATAAGCAACTTCAGCAAAGTCTCAGGATACAAAATCAATGTGCAAAAACCACAAGCATTCTTATACACCAATAACAGACAAACAGAGAGCCAAATCATGAGTGAACTCCCATTCACAATGGCTTCAAAGAGAATAAAATACTTAGGAATCCAACTTGCAAGGGATGTGAAGGACCTCTTCAAGGAGAACTACAAACCACTGCTCAATGAAATAAAAGAGGATACAATACAAGATACAATACAATGAAAGAGGATACAAACATTCCATGCTAATGGGTAGGAAGAATCAATATTGTGAAAATGGCCATACTGCCCAAGGTAATTTACAGATTCAGTGCCATCCCCATCAAGCTACCAATGACTTTCTTCACAGAATTGGAAAAAACTATTTGAAAGTTCATATGGAACCAAAAAAGAGCCCGCATTGCCCAGTCAATCCTAAGCCAAAAGAGCAAAGCTGAAGGCATCATGCTACCTGACTTCAAACTATACTACAAGGCTACAGTAACCAAAACAGCATGGTACTGGTACCAAAACAGAGATATAGACCAATGGAACAGAACAGAGCCCTCAGACATAATGCCACATATCTACAACTATCTGATCTTTGACAAACTTGACAAAAACAAGAAATGGGGAAAGGATTCCCTATTTAATAAATGGTGCTGGGAAAACTGGCTAACCATATGTAGAAAGCTGAAACTGGATCCCTTCCTTACACCTTATATAAAAATTAATTCAAGATTGATTAAAGACTTAAATGTTAGACCTAAAACCATAAAAACCCTAGAAGAAAACCTAGGCAATACCATTCAGGACATAGGCATGGGCAAGGACTTCATGTCTAAAACACCAAAAGCAATGGCAACAAAAGCCAAAATTGGCAAATGGGATCTAATTAAACTAAAGAGCTTCTGCACAGCAAAAGAAACTACCATCAGAGTGAACAGGCAACCTACAGAATGGGAGAAAATTTTTGCAACCTACTCATGTGACAAAGGGCTAATATCCAGAATCTACAATGAACTCAAACAAATTTACAAGAAAAAAAACAAACAACCCCATCAAAAAGTGGGCGAAGGATATGAACAGACACTTCTCAAAAGAAGACATTTATACAGCCAAAAAACACATGAAAAAATGCTCATCATCACTGGCCATCAGAGAAATGCAAATCAAAACCACAATGAGATACCATCTCACACCAGTTAGAATGGCGATCATTAAAAAGTCAGGAAACAACAGGTGCTGGAGAGGATATGGAGAAATAGGAACACTTTTACACTGTTGGTGGGACTGTAAACTAGTTCAACCCTGTGGAAGTCAGTGTGGCGATTCCTCAGGGATCTAGAACTAGAAATACCATTTGACCCAGCCATCCCATTACTGGGTATATACCCAAAGGATTATAAATCATGCTGCTATAAAGACACAGGCACACGTATGTTTATTGCGGCACTATTCACAATAGCAAAGACTTGGAACCAACCTAAATGTCCAACAATGATAGACTGGATTAAGAAAATGTAGCACATATACACCATGGAATACTATGCAGCCATAAAAAATGATGAGTTCATATCCTTTGTAGGGACATGGATGAAGCTGGAAACCATCATTCTCAGCAAACTATTGCAAGGACAAAAAACCAAACACCGCATGTTCTCACTCATAGGTGGGAATTGAACAATGAGAACACATGGACACAAGAAGGGGAACATCACACACCGGGGCCTGTTGTGGGGTGGGGGAAGTGGGGAGAGATAGCATTAGGAGATATACCTAATGTTAAATGACGAGTTAATGGGTACAGCACACCAACATGGCACATGTATACATATGTAACAAACCTGCACGTTGTGTACACGTACCCTAAAACTTAAAGTATAATAATAATAAAATTTTAAAAAAGAAAAATACAAAACATACAGACCAACAACCATTACAGAAATAGTATTTAGAAAAAAATTCCAAAAGACTTAACATACCCCGATGCTTTTATACACCTTTGTCCAACCTTCAAAGACTAGGTGACTGCTCTTTTATAGAAGCTGTTTTAGAAGGAAAAACTTCCCATATAATTATATGAGAATAATGTAAACTCAAGGAAGATAATTTATACAGTAGATCAATCTCACTTATGATCCTAGTAGCAAATATCCTAAACTACATAGCAGCAAACAAAATTTATTTTATTTATTTATTTATTTATTTATTTTAGACATAGTCTCACTCTGTCACCCAGGCTGGAGTGTAATGGCGCAATCTTGGCTCACTGCAACCTCTGCCTCCAAGGTTCAAGCAATCCTCCTGCCTCAGCCTCCTGAGTTGCTAGGATTACAGGTGCGTGCCACCACGCCCAGCTAATTTTTGTATTTTTAGTAGAGATGGGGTTTCACCACGTTGGCCAGGCTGGTCTCGAATTCCTGACCTCGTGATCCACCCACCTCTGCCTCCCAAAGTGCTAGAATTACAGGCGTGAGCCACTGCACTCTCCACAAAATTTATAATGTATTAAAAATAGTTGTCGCTGGTATATGCAGAGGACTGGTTCTAGGACATAACCCCCACATATGCTTATCAGCACTTACTCAAGTCCGGCAGTCAGCCCAGCAAAACCCACAAAGACTTGGAACCAATCCAAATGCCCATCAATGATAGACAGGATAAAGAAAATGTGGCACATATACACAATGGAATATCATGCAGCCATAAAAAAGAATGAGTTCATATTCTTTGCAGGGACATGGATGAAGCTAGAAACCATCATTCTCAGCAAACTAACACAGGAACAGAAAACCAAACACCTCATGTTCTCACCCATAAGTAGGAGTTGAACAATGAGAGCACATGGACAGAGGGAGGGGAACATCACACACCAGGGCCTGTTGGGGGTGGGGAGGCAAGGGGAGGGAGAACATTAGGACAAATACCTAATGCATGCGGGGCTTAAAACCTAGATGATGGGTTGATATGTACAGCAAACCACCATGGCATGTGTATACCTATGTAACAAACCTGCACATTCTGCACATGTATCCCAGAAATTAAAGTAAAATTAAAAGAAGAAAAGAAAAGTCAACCCTCTATATAGTCAAGTTTTGAATCCCAGGAATACTGTAATTTCTCTTTCGTTTCCTATTTTTTTTTTTTTCAAAGACAGGGTCTTGCTCTGTCACCCAGGCTGGAGTGCAGTGGTACAATCATAGCTCACTGCAGCCTCAAACTTCTGGGCTCAAATGATCCTCCCTCCTCAGCCTCCAAGTTGTGTATTTTTGATCCATGTGTGATTGAAAAAGACCCCCATAAAAATGGAACTGTGCAATTCAAATCTATGTTATTCAAGGGTCAGTGGTACATTAAGAATAAGAGCCTATAGCATAGGCCAGGCATGGTGGTTCATGCCTGTAATCCCAGCACTTTGAGAGGCCGAGGTAGGAGGATTGCTTGAGGCCAGGAGTTCTAAACTAGCCTCAGTAACATAGCAAGATTCTGTCTCTACAAAAACAGTTTGTAGCAGTCATGCAAAGAAGTTTAAGTATTATGAAAGTCTCTTAAATATAATTAATCTCATTGACAGGTTAGGGATGAAAAACATATAATCATCTCAATAGATGTGGAAAATCAATTTTAAAAACTTCAACATCAAGGCTGGGCGCGGTGGCTCATGCCTGTAATCCCAGCACTTTGGGAGGCCAAGGCAGGTGGATCACGAAGTCAAGAGATCAAGACCATCCTGGCTAACATAGTGAAACCCTGTCTCTACCAAAAACACAAAAAATTAGCTGGGCATGGTGGTGGGCGCCTGTAGTCCCAGCTACTCAGGAGGCTGAGGCAAGAGAATGGCGTGAACCAGGGAGGCGGAGTTTGCAGTGTGCTGAGATCACACCACTGCACTCCAGCCTGGGCGACAGAGAAACACTCCATCTCAAAAAAAAAAAAAAAAAAGAAAGAAAAATTTCAACATCCATTCCTGATTTTTTAAAAAAGAAAGTCTTAACAAACTAGGAATAGAAGATAACTTTCTCAACCTGAGACAGAAAATCTATCAAGCATCACAGTCGATAGCGAAACTTTAGCATTCCTCAGAGATAATTCAAGACAAGAATACTTATTCTCATCACTTCCTTCTGAGGGGGTACTGGAGGTCTTAGAAGTACTACTATAGGACGAGAAAAATAAATGAAGTACATGAACTGGAAAGCAAGAAATAAAATTTCAAAAATAGAACTTTCTATGTAAAAAAAAAAAAAAAAGAGAAACCACAGGCAACCTTTAAAACCATTAAGAATTTATCAAGGACACTTCTGTTTCTGATCAAGGTGGAATAACAAGTACCAAATTTACCACCACATAGACATAAAACAGGCAAAGATGGGGGCATAAACAATGGTTCTCAAGATACTGAACTCTAGTAAACAAAAAACCAGGGATTCCTGAGAGGTGAGAAATGAGAAAGGTAAGTCCTATGATTGTCCAAGCTGGCTCCCTAGAGAAAATTACCAGGCCACAGCTCAGAGAAGAGGACTCAAGACAAGGCTGGGGTGGTTTCCCTAATTTGAGAAGATGGAGTAAGATGTCCAGGGAGGTCAAGGACTAAGAGCTCACAGAAACAGTATTAAAGAGGAAACCTGCCAAGAGAAAGAACTCCAGAGATATACAGTATTTGAGTGTTTAGCGGAATACTGATCAATACATGCATGTGAGGATTCAGAATCATGGAAAGAACCACTTGAAATGATTGGCAGGAACAGTACCCAGGGCTCACTGAGAGCCACAAATAGTGCCTGTTCCAACTAGAATGGAAACCTCATTATTAACAGTGCACAGGGTAAACTCTTCAGAAAGATTTGACCTCAGTAATGAGGAACAATCAGCCCCAGGTAGACCATTGCTTTAGCCCTTCCTAACAAAGCTTAAAGCAAGATCTGAAATGATCGAAGAGCCACTATATAACTTAACAACATCCTGGAACAAAGCTCAAAAATATTTATATATATCTTGCACGCAAAGGTAAAATTCACAATGTGTGATATTCAATCAAAAATGTTTGGGCTGGGCGTGGTGGCTCACACCTATAATCCTAGCACTTTGGGAGGCCGACATGGGAGGATCACTTGAGGCCAGGAGTTCAAGACCAGCCTGGTCAACATAGCAAGATCCCACCCCCACAAAAAAAAGCAAAAGAAAAAAAATTTTAGGGATGCAGAAAAGATAATATACCCATAATGAAGGGGAAAGTCAATCAATTGACATGGAGCTAGAAATTACACAGAGAATAATTAGTAGGAAAGGACAGTTTATATTACTATATTCCATATATTCAACAAACTAGACAACAGATTGAACCTGATAGGTAAAGAGATGAAAGATTCAAATGAAACTTATAGAGATGAAAATTAAACACAGTAAAATATACTGACTGGGATTGATGGCAGATTTGGGCAATGCAGAATAAAAGACTAGTGAGCTTGAAAACAGCAATAGAGACCATCCAAAATGAAACACAGAGAAAAATAATCAACGTAAGAAACATGAAGAAAGCACCAGTGAGCTGTGGGACAATTTCAGGTGGCACAATACATATGTAATGGGAAACCCTGAAGGAGAGAGGGGCAGAAAAAAAATCTAAAAAATAATGGCCCATATGGTGAAACCCCAACTCTACTAAAAATATAAAAAGTTAGCTGGACATGGTGGCACTCACCTGTAGACCCAGCTACTCAGGAGGCTGAGGCAGGACAATTGCTTGAACCCGGGAGGCAGAGTTGCAGTGAGCTGAGATCATGCCACTGCACTCCAGCCCAGGCGACAGAGCAAGACTCCATCTCAAAAAATAAAAAAATGGCCCAGAGTTTTCTGTATTTGATGAAAATTATAAGCCCACCAATTCAACAGGCTCAACACAGTCTAAGCCTGAGAAAAATGGTGAAAACTCTATCAAGGCATATAATAAATTCCTTAAAATCAGTTAAAAGTAGCCAGGAACAGAACACAAAGAGTGAACACTAATGCAAACTATGGGCTTTAGTTAATAAGTGTGATGGTTAACACTGAGTGTCAGCTTGATTGAAGGATACACAGTATTGTTTGTGGGTGTGTTTGTGAGGGTGCTGCCAAAGGAGATTAACATTTGAGTCAGTGGAGTGGGAAAGGCAGACCCACTGTTAATCTGGGTGGGCACAATCTAATCAGAATAAAAAGCAGGCAGAAGAACATGAAAAGGCTAGACAGGACTAGCCTCCCAGACTACATCTTTCTCCCATGCCGGATGCTTCCT
This sequence comes from Homo sapiens, assembly GCF_000001405.40. Classification (NCBI taxonomy): domain Eukaryota; kingdom Metazoa; phylum Chordata; class Mammalia; order Primates; family Hominidae; genus Homo; species Homo sapiens. Next base: position 62,041,075 of record NC_000014.9, on the reverse strand, counting down.
GCCCTCAAACATCGGACTCCAAGTTCTTCAGCTTTCGAACTCGGACTGGCTTCCTTTCTCCTCAGCTTGCAGACGGCCTATTGTGGGACCCATTGATTGTGTGAGTTGATACCCCTTAATAAACTCCCCTTTATATATACATCTATCCTATTAGTTCTGTCCCTCTAGAGAACCCTAATTCAATAAGGTACCAATATCAGTTCATCAATTGTAACAAACGTACCACACCAATCTAAGATGTTAACAGGGGAAACAAGGCAGGAAGAGGTAAGAGTATATGGGACCTCTTGGTACTTTCTGCTCTCCAGTTCCATAAAGCTAAAATTGCTCTAAAAATAATATATTTTTTAAAAGTAGAGGAAAAAGAGATGTTTCATGTACAGAGGAACATGGATAAGGATGACAGCAGAATTCTCATTTTAAAATCTCACTGTGAAACAATATTTCTTAAATGCAGAAAGAAAAAAACTGACAGAACTCTATACTTAGACAAAATATCTTTCAAAAACGAAGGCAAAATACACTTTACAGAAAGAATTCATCACTGTCAGACCTGCAAAACAAAAAATGTTAATGTCAGTCCTGCAAGCAAAAGAAAAATACCAAATATAAATCTGGATGTATGCACCTGAAATCACTATGTGGATAAATACATAAAGATTTGGGTTCTTATTATTTAAACCTCTTTTTGAAATGTCCCAATTGTATGTATGTGTTGTAGCAGGCAGATGTTAACTTTGACCCTCTAGCATCTTTCTCTCTTTTTCAGTAACAATATCTTGATTTTCTTGTAGAAAACCACCCCTCTCCATATCTTCATGAGGTTTGGGTGAGATTGATCCCACATTCCTTCATTTTAGGCTGGGGAAAAAACTCAAGTCTAGCCAATGATAACCAGCCTCAGGACTTTGCTGGAAATATTATGAGCAAGCTTCCCCATTCCTGCAGCTGTGGTGGATAAACAAGTAGAACATAAACTGGTATCTGCCATCATCTGGGGAAATTCTGCCTAAGAAAGAAGCCAACACAGTAAAAGAGAAAAAAAAAAAGCAGAACCAAGATTGCTGCTAGATTACTGCTTTCAACACCCTCCGTGAACTGGAGCAAATCATTCTTGTATCCAGCACTCACTGGATATGCTTTCCTAGCATATCACTTTTCACTAATGTGAGTCAGTAAAATCTAGTGTGTATGTGCGTGTGTGTGTGTGTGTGTGTGTGTGTGTGTGTGTGTGTGTGTGTATGCTTAAGCCCCTCTGAATTTGGCTTCCATCACTTGAGCCCAGATGTATTCTCATATAGTGGTGAAGTGCAAAAGTATTAGAGGTGAGAGTTCAGAGATCTCTGTTCAAGATCTGCCTCTGTCAACACATAATTATGAAATCTTGGCCAAAGAACTTTATATTGCTCTGTCTGCTGAATTCCTGCAATAAATGCTGTCTCTATTCTTAATGCATTAAAAATGTATTAAATTCATTAAGCATATAAATATATATCATCTTGTGATGTCTTCTATCTTGACTAGCTATTTAAATCTTTATTAACATTTTATTCATTTAATGTCTTATTTCTTCAGGTTGCATGTCCTTGCGTCCTCACACATAGCTAATGCTACCCTCTCTTATCCCAACATAGACCTAGCATACATAATATGTGGAAGTGGATTTTAGGGCCTTCTTAGCTTAGAATACTTTATGAATCTATAAGAATATCATAGCCCCAAATATCATTCATTACTGCTCCCTGATTTCATGGCATTCTATTCATAATGACCAAGGCACCTCATGCCTTGTCTTTTCAACACTGCAAGTTCCCTGCAGCTGCAGGGTCTGCATTAGGTCTCCACAACCCCAAGATGGATCACTGTTAGCACACTGAAAGCATTAGCTGAATTAAACTAAACTAGATCAAAACTTCCCCTTACAGCCAGAAATTTTTTTCTTCACTGAAGAAGAGGAGGAGTGAAGCATAAAGGATTTAGAATTTTAAAAACCCAAGTTAGGGTCCTAGTTCTGCCACTTGTTAGCTGTGTGACTTGCCATTTGTCACTTTACTTCTCTGACCTTCCATTTCTTCATATATAAATGGGAATAATAATCCCTGCCTTGCCTTACAAAGTTGTTGTGACAAGCAAAAGAAACACTTTGTAGGCACAAAAGAACTCTACGCAACGTTTATTAGGCATTATCATGTGCTCCTCATGTTACATATAATATTCCATTTAAAACTTACAATATCCTCAGAGAAAGCTATTAAATCATTATTCAACAGATGAAGTTACTGAAGCCCAGAAAAGTTAAGTAACATGTGGGTGAGCCCTTTCTGATTCTCAAGTACATAGTCCTTCCATCACATTTTCCTGCTGGGTCAACACAAAGTACAAATGCCAGGTGTTCCATTCCTCAGGTTCCAGGGAACTATAAAGGCCAGACAGAGAGCTGGGCCTCAAAACCAAAATGACACAAAACAAATGAGTCCTGGGACCCAAGGAGTCCTTGCTTTCCACAGTAGCTGGGATCAACAAAATCATGGAATATGTGCCACTGTTGATTAAGCAGACGGATGTGTAAATAAGCGATTTTCCCTCAATTCACTTTTCTTTTCCTATCCTGCTTCCAGGTTTGTCATAGCTCCACTCTGCCAGCTCTAAACAGGACGTGGACAGGGGTTTCTCCAGGGCCCATGCATGGCCAGTAGATTAATCTTGCAGGCACCCCTGATGGATTTTGCTGCTGCTAGAGTATGGTATATGAATTGGATTCTGAGGCCACACTCAGGAAAGAGTACCATGTATCTTCTGTATCAAAAGTAGAGGCTGTGAATTGGTTATGGTACTCTTGCCTGAGTGTGGCCTCAGAATCCAACCCATATACCACACTCTAGCAGCAGCAAAATCCATCAGAGATGCCTGCAAGCGAAACTACCGGCCATGTGTGGGCCCTGGAGAAACCCCTATCCACATCCTATTTAGAGCTGGCAGAGTGGAGCTATAACCAAGCCTGGAGGCAGGATAGGAAAAGAAAAGTGAATTCAGGGAAAATCACTTATTTACAAATCCATCTGCTTAATCAACAGTATTGACTCTATGACATGCCAGGCTCAAGCCTGATGCAGATGTACATGGTGATCATAAAAAGACCTCTGCCCATGCCTGGCTACAGGTTACCAACATACAATTACAATACCACCAGCTCCCTCTTCTATGACACTAGAAGGCTCTGGGGGGCCACAAAGCAGGCAGGAAAGTCAGGTTCACTTAAGAAATCAGAAATAGCCCAGATGAGTCACTAGCTTAGACATGCCAAGTCCATTGTTGGAACCCTTGGGACTAGATATGTTTCAAGATTCAGGTTCGTTCAGATTTTAAAAAGACAATATGGTACATGTACCATGTATTATTTAATACCCCAGTGGAGTCTGAGGAAACACCTTGTAATAAAACACATTAATAATTAAAACATGATTATTCAAACTAACAGAGAGATAAGTAAACACTCTAAATAACCTCATCTCAGTTAAAACAATCTTAACGACAAGAAAAACATTCCAGTTTTAGATGGTTTGGTTTTTACAATTCCAGATAAAGGTTTGTGCACCTGCATTAAGAATAGTGTTGAAAACATCAATTTAAGACACAAGCTAATTATGTGTCCCTGATTTCTAGAAGAGACATCCCGAACCACATGTTGATAGTTAATAAAGACGTGTAAACTTTTTCCCTAAGAGATTATTGGTAAATTAATATAAATTTAAGACACAGGATAGAGTCTGGAGATGACAGAGTATGCAAGGAAGTTACATAAACACAAAGAAAACACTAAAAAACTACAAGACCTTGTGAACAGGAATCCTGCCATAACTAAGCCAAAGGGGTAAAAAAAAAAGCTCATGCTTCTGAAATTCATTTCAAGTGGGGACCAGATTCTCAGAGCATCTGAGACCTGACTGTAGCTCAGAGGCAAAAGTGTCTAAGAAACACAATAACTTGTTCCTAGTTGCTGCATACAGTGGAGGCTTTTCAGTCCTCTTTTGCCATCCTCTCAGCAGAACACGTGGCCACTGACCAAGTTCCTTCCCTTGTCCTCCATGACAACACAGCCTCATTTTCCTCTGTTCTCTTTGTTCATCTCAGCCCCTGAAGCCAACTCATTTCTTCTACCATCTCTTGGCACCAGTGCTCCTCAGGAATCTACTGTGAGCACTTGCTCAGTATATGGTGTGCCTGTGTCCCCACCCAAATCTCATCTTGAATTGTAGCTCCCATAATCCCCATGTGTCATGGGAGGGACCTGGTGGGAGGTGATTGAATCATGAGGGCGGGTTTTTCCCGTGCTTTTCTCATGCTAGTGAATAAGTCTCATGAGAGCTGATAGTTTTATAAAGGACAGCTCCCCTGCACAGGCTCTCTTGCCTGCCACCACGTAAGATGTGCCTTTGCTCCTCCTTTGCCTTCTGCCATGATCATGAGGCCTCCCTAGCCATGTGGAACTGTGAGTCCATTGAAACTCTTTCCTTAATAAATTAGGCAGTTTTGGGTATGTCTTTATTAGCCGCACGAGAATGGACTAGCACACTGAGTCCATATGCTGTCTCTGCAAATCTTAACCCACAGCTCCAACTCCCACCTCCATACTGATGGCCAGCAGGGCAGCTTCTCCATCCCTCTCTCTCCTGAACTCTTGACACATGTATTCAACACTACCTCTAGCCTCAGCTTTCTCCACATCCCCACCCTGCCCATCTCCGCTTCCAGCCATACCCAACCAATGCGTGGTTACCTCTTTTCTTTTTTCAGATCCTCACGTTTCTATGCCCAGGATGTCTCTGCTCCCATACTCTCATTTCCAACTTTAACTCATTCTTCAAAATGCTCTAAGCTTCACCTGCTTTGAGATCTATTCTCCACCTCCCACAGAAAACAAATCTCAGCTTGGGTTCCTTTCCCTCATTTTCATTCCTCCTACGCCCTGTGCTTACCCCTATGGAAGCACTTACCAAAATAATCTGAAGCTCTCCCTTTACTTGTAATATTCCCCTGACCAGACTGACAGCTCCTTAAAAGTAGAAGCAGGATCCCTCTCTCTGCATCCTCAGAGCCTACATAGCTTGCACAGTGTCAGC